>NW_018654713.1:0-242796 GCF_000001405.40 Homo sapiens
AAGTTACCAGCAGGGTTAGTTCCTGGTGAAGGCTCTCTTCCTAGCCTGCAGACGGCCATCTTCTCCCTGTGTCCCCACATGACCTTTCCTCTGTGACATGCTCCTGGTGTCTCTTCCTCTTCTTAGAAAAACACCAGTCCTATTGGATTAGGGCCATGCCCTTATAACCTCATTTTACCTTAATTACCTCTTTACAGACCCTATCTCCAAGTACAGTAACAGTCTGAGTTACTGGGAGTTGGGACTTCAACAGATGAAATTTGGGAGGACACAGTTCAGTCCGTAACAGTCCATCTCTTAGGAATGATGAAACTAGACTGAGATGAGATATACACCTTGCCTAAGATGATAGTAAAGACCAAAGAACAGGAATTTGAAGCCAAATTTGCTCTCATGGCCTCTTAGCCACCAGACCACCCTGCCACAGGCATCAGAACAGAGCAGCTCCACAAAGTGGGCAGGAATAGCACACGCTACCTGCCACTGCCATTCTGACTGGGGAAGAAGGAGTGCTTCCTGGCTTCTCTGGACCTGAGCTCTCACAGTCCAGCCTTACGCTCTTGAGATAGGAGCTCTGAGCTTTTGAAATAGTCCTTGCAAACCCATGCTTTGCTAGTGCAGGAAAGATGCTGTTTGCTGATGTCTTAATGAAACACAACCTAAGCATTGATTACTGTTTACGTGCGGACATGTGTCAGGAAGAAAAGGCATTAAAACTCTTGTGGGGGAAGCCTGTCCAAGGTGGAAATGAGCCCAAGATTCCCAGTATTAATCTGATGCCCCAGGTGTTTGTCAACTTTAGTTTATCTGGAGAGTGGAACATTTGTGTTGGTGTTTCTATCCAAATCTTTCCAGGCCCAAAGGCTCAACATTTTTTTTTTGTGGAGACTTCCCCAATCTCTGGGGTTCTCAACTGCTCTTGAGTTCTTTTAAAGGAGGGGTCCCCAATCCCTGGGCCACAGGCAGGTACCAGTCTGTGGCTTGTTAGGAACCAGGTACACAGCGGGAGGTGAGTGGCAGGTTTGCGAGCATTACCACCTAAGCTCCACCGCCTGTCAGATCAGTGGTGGTATTAGATTCTCACAGGAGCATTAACCCTATTTTGAACTGCACATGCAAGGGGTCTAGGTTGCACATGCCTTATGAAAACATAATGCCTGATCATCTGCGGTGGAACAGTTTTATCCCAAAACCATCCCTGCCCTCATCCATCCTCATCTGTGGAAGTCCCAACTCCCAGTAACTCATCCATGGAATGTCTTCCACGAAAACCAGTCCCTGGTGCCAAAAAGGCTGAGGACCACTACTTTTAAGACCCTCTGTCCAGGCCCCACCTTCAGATGCTGACCACCCAGTGCCTTAGACTTCATTTGTTCATCTGTGTTAAATTGAAGGCTTTTTTTTTTTTTAAACGAGGGGCTCTGGGCTTGCAATGTGTTCTTGTGAAATGAATGAATGAATGAACAAATGGCTTTAGAAATCAGACAATTATATTTCCCTAAAGTTTTTGAAAGATTCCATAAAATAAAAAGACTATTTGGAAGCACAAAACCAGGGAAAATTGCCTTGGTTTCTCATTACCTACTGGCAGGGGTTGCTCAGAGCTGAGCGGTATAGAATAGACAGACCTGGATTTACTATGCTTTATCTTACCTGATATTCAAAACTATCTTACAAGTGGAATACTAGTAACATCTCGCCACCCCCCAACCCTTTTTTTTTTTTTTTTGGAGACAGAGTGTAGCTCTGTTACCTAGGCTGGAGTGCAGTGGCGCAATCTCGGCTCACTGAAACCTCTGCCTCCTGGGTTCAAGAGATTCTCCTGCCTCAGCCTCCCGAGTAGCTGGGACCAGAGGCACGTGCCACCACACCCGGCCAATTTTTGTATTTTTAGTAGAGACGGGGTTTCACCATGTTGGCCACGCTAGTTTCAAACTCCTGACCTCAGGTGAACCACCCGCCTCAGCCTCTCAAAGTGTTGGGATTACAGGCGTGAGCCACCGCACCCAGCCAGCATCTCCCTTCAATGGATAAGGAAATCAGAGCTTCCAGAAGTTAAGTGAGGTTTGCGGACACTTTATTGTTGGGCACAAACTCAACAAGTCTGACTCTAGTGTAACTGGTAACTCCCATGCCAACATGGAATTCAGAGCCTCTAGTGGTGGGATTTCTTGCAGGCCCTGTCATCCCTGGGCTGAGGTTCTTGTGGAAGGTCAAGGTGGCTGGGTGGAACTTGGCAGTGTGGTCAATCAACAGCGCATGGGCATTGAAATTAGGATACTTAGATTCAAAACAGATCTCTCACTTTCTGATTTAGGGCAAGTTACTTGACTTCACCTGCCTCCATTTTCTCAATTGTAACGTGGAACCGAGAAATGACAATGTGCCAGCAGCCCTCCCTCGCTATCGGCGCCTACTCTGGCCGTGCTTGAGGAGCCCTTCAGCCTACCGCTGCGCTGTGGGAACCGCTCTCTGGGGTTGGCCCAGGCTGAAGCCAGCTCCTTTGCTCGCAGGGAGTGTGGAGGGAGAGCCGCGGGCGGGAGCCGGGGCTGCGCGCGGCGCTCGTGGCCGGCGCGCGGTCTCGGCAGTCGCCGAACTTCACTGTCAACTGACGTCTGCTGGGCTTGACTAGGGAAAAAGCTCCCTCTGGGCTGCCAGAGTGCCCGAATTGGGTGCTGCAAAGTGCCCCAGCGCCTGCCGGTAAGAGGTGAAACCGGCTGGGTTTCTGGGAGGGGTGCGAACTTGGAGAACTTTTGTGTCTAGCTAAAGGATTGTAAACTCACCAATCAGCATTCTCTGTGTCTAGCTAAAGGTTTGTAAAAGTACCAATCAACACTCTGTGTCTCGCTAATCTTGTGGGGACTTGGAGAACTTTTGTGTCTAGCTAAAGGATTGTAAACGCACCAGTGAGCACTCTGTGTCTAGCTAAAGGTTTGTAAACACACCAATCAGCACCCTGTCAAAAATGGACCAATCAGCATTCTGTAAAATGGACCAATCAGCACTCTGTAAAATGGACCAATCAGTTCTCTGTAAAATGGACCAATCAGCAGGATGTGGGTGGGGTCAGATAAGGGAATAAAAGCAGGCTGCCTGAATCAATAAGGATAACTGGTTTACGTCTGTTCTTTGTGTTGCTATAGACTTGTTGTTTGGGTTTGTGTTATCTTTTTGATCTGCAGGACTAATAGTAAAAGTCTGTAGCTTCAGTTATAGACTAAGATTACTACTCTGCCAGAAGTAGTGAATAAAGAATCAACTGGGTGGGATGAATCACGGTAGGTGTTCTATGCTTAAGAGCTGGGAGGTTTACCATCTCTGTCTGTAGCTTTGGTCGTTAAAGCAGCGGGATTCTGAAAAAAAGCTGTAGCACTCAGTGGGAAAGTAGGTAGCTTCAGTTTTTAAGTTAGTGAGATTAGGAAGGTGTGTAATGCTCCCAGTCCACTCAATGTGAAGATCTGTAATGTCATTCCTGAAGTCAGTAAGAGCACGAACCCACTATAGAGAAGAAACAAAAGAGGCAAACCCACCAGAGAGAAGAAACTTTGAGCACATCTGAACAGAAGAAATAAACTGGGGTCACATGTTTAACAATTGTAATTCTGTGAGGGTCCACAGCTTCATGCTTGAAGTCAGACTGAGAACCCACTAATTCCACACGCAGTTGTGAAAACTATAGAGGATTTTTTTTTTCTTTTGACAGTTTCACTTGTGCTGCCCAGGCTGGAGTGCAGTGGCACTATCTTGGCACACTGTGGCTTATGTCACGGGTTCAAGCGATTCTGCTGTCTCAGCCTCCCAAGTATGGATTACAGGTATGTGCTACTAGGCCCAGCCAAATTATTTACTGATCATTTTTGGTTTTGTTGCCCAGGCTGGAGTGCAGTGGTGTCCTCTGTGTACTGCAATCTTTGCCTCCCGGGGTCAAGTGGCTTGCCTCTCTCGGCCTCCTGAGTAGCTGGGACTGTAGGCACCCACTACCACACTTGGCTAATTTTTTTGTATTTTTAGTAGAGATGAGATTTCTCAACATTGGCCAGGATGTTGTTGATCTCCTGACCTTGTGATCTGCCCACCTCAGTCTCCCAGAGTGCTGGGATTACAGGAGTGACACACTCTGCCTGGCCTATTTTTCTATTTTTAATAAAGATTTTCACCACGTTGGCCAGGCTGGTCTCGATCTGACCTCAGGTGATCTGCCTGCCTTGGCCTCCGAAAGTGCTGGGGTTACAGGTATGAGCCATTGTGCCTGGTAAATAAGTTTATGTACCAGTGCTGCATCCATGTCATGTGAGCTGGTGTCTTCACCTCCATATAAATATGTTTACATGCTTTTGGAAAGAATGAAAATCTGTGGATGACGACTAAAAATGAGGAACGGCGGAAAAAAAGTCCTGAAGTTTAAATGGACCCGTTTTCTCTAGTGGTGCTTGAAACGAACTGGTTACGGGGGTCAAAAACATGATTCATCGCACCAGGGTGGTCTTTGGTAGCTCTGAGTGGCCACCGTGAGTTCAGTCTTAGTCTTGAATGCAATAGATAATCCTTATCAATTCCAATGAGCCAGTTAAACGGATTTCATGGAACTCTGCAATGGATTACTAAAATGTTCACGGCGGGGCGCCGTGGCTGAAGCGTGTAATCCCAGCGCTTTGGGAGACTGAGGCAGGCAGATAATCTGAGGTCAAGAATTCAAGACCAGCCTGGGCAACATGGTGAAACTGTACTAAAAATACAGAAGTTAGCCAGGCATGGTGATGCACACCTATAATCCAAGCTACTTGGGTGGCTGAGGCAGGAGAATTGCTTGAACCCAGGAGGGGGGAGGCGGAGGTTGCAGTCAGCTGAGATCATGCCATTGCACTCCAGCCTGGGAGACAGAGCGAGACTCCGTCTCTCTCTCTCACACACACACAAGTTCACATTGATCCCGGAGCATTAGGACCTTGGTTTCCTACTGCTGTGTGGATGGATGAGACCTCAGCTGGCATCTGAGAACCCTGGGGAGGGGAAAGAATCAAAACCAGATATACCTGCACCCAACTCCCAGGGCCTCACCTTCTCAAAACATCAACCACTGTCGCCTTATAGTGCAAAAAGCATTGTTGAGTGAAGTGCATGCACAAGTTTGATCGTGCCCCAAGTGCAAACTTGCCTTGAGAAAAATGTCATTTCCACGTCCCCCTCTTAAACATTAAGAGACCGTCTCCTACCTCTTAGGTCTGGGCAGCCTACCCCAGAATCTTGGCTCTCCCTCTCTGCCCGAATCGAAATCAGAGATTTGAAAAAGTCTGGCAAAAGGTTTTTGAAAGGTCACCAGGCCATTTCTTTGCTACCTTTAGTGGTGGTAGCATTTATCTTACCATAGACGTCAAGTCAAAAAAAAGTTCCGCAGACATTTGCGTCAGTAAAGCAAAGAGACTGGGCCTGGCTCCGCGGGACTCAGTGGTGCCCGCTGGCCCTGCCAGCTCTGCTGAGTCTGTGAGGACTGGAAGGCTTTGGAGCTGCTGCGCCGACTCCGACGTGGAAAAAGCATGTAGTCGGGGCAGCGCCTGTTTCCACAAGGAACGCAAAAAGGTGGCGTCAAGGATTACGGTCCCCCTTGCAGTAAAGTAACTGGGCAGGAAGGCGACAAAGGTACTGCGGCTCCGAACCACAGTGGGTAACAAGGGAAACCTGCTCAGACCTGTGTGTGCATCGCCAATGTCGGATTTTGGTTTGGTTTTGTTTTTTTACTTTTAAAAAGATATAAAGTCTTTGGTTCTTTGCATGAAAACATTAGTAGTGGGATGGGAAATTTATTTGGATGAAGTTCAGTAGTTACTCAAGTGATAGTCGCTCTTCCTGGGAGGATCTTAGTGATCATTAAGGTCCGGGCCACCCTTAATAAGTGCCTGTTAACAGCAGCAGTCATTGATTTTTGAAAGTGTGTGGTCGGCAGCAGAAAGCCTGGTACAGCCTTGCTTCTACCGTTTTCTCGGTTGTTTTGGAATCGCCTTTGCAAAAGCCATGCACGGCTATAGTTCTGTGATAGCACCCAGGGCTCATGGTCTCTCTCTGCTGTGTACCAAATGCGTCGAACTAGCGCTGAGGACTTCTTGCAGGGGATGTCTGTTTAACAGCGGTCATTTCTGCTTCCCTGGCGGTGAAAGCAGGAAACACCTGGAATCCTTAGATTCTGAAAACTTCATGTTACTCTCTGGAATATGTGCGTGCATGTGTGTGTGTGCATGCGTGTGCATGCGTGCGTGCATGTGTATAAGTATGATCTGCTCTAGTGCATTCTCTCAAGTGATTTTTTTAAACTGTATGATTTATTGCCTACTTTGTAAATGCAACAGGCTTACACAGCAGTTGGTCCATAACCTGCCCCCAAGCACACAGCCCTCATGACCCTACACTGGCCAAATTCACCCTTTTTTTTTTTTTTTTTTTTGAGACAGAGTCTCGCTCTTGTCACCCAGGCTGGAGTGCAGTGGTGTGATTTCGGCTCACTGCAACCTCCGCCTCCCAGGTTCAACCAATTCTCGTGCCTCAGCCTCCCAAATAGCTGGGATTACAGGTGCCTGCCACCATGCCTGGCTAATTTTTGTATTTTTAGTTGAGACGAGGTTTCACCATGTTGGCCAGGCTGCTCTCGAACTCCTGATCTCAAGTGATCTGCCCACCTTGGCCTTCCCAAGTGCTGGGATTACAGGGTGAGCCACTGCACCCAGCCCCAAAATTGCTCTTATTTGGATCGGGAAAGTCTGTCTACTGTTCTCTGAGGGGCAACTAACTATTAGTATTCATTACCATACAGTAATGTTGTTTGTGAAACAAAACCAAACAAATTTTTAAAAAGCAAAATAAAAGCTCTGTGAAGTTATAATGTGAGGCTGGTAGGATTTTACGGGAAAGGTGTAGTATTCTGGAAAATTCTGAGATTGCACCACTAATGCCTGGCTAAGGAAGGAGTTTGCTGAGAGAAAACTCTTTAAGTTGTGTCCGTCTGTCAATTCATCCATTCATCCATCTAGCTATCACCTCAGCTCCTCTGAGTTCAGAATCTTGCTGAAGTTCATACAGTTAACACTCAGGAACCAGGACTCTGCTCTTCTCACCAGTGGGGCAGCCCAATTAGCAGACTTTTGGCCCTGTATCCCAAATTTTTCTGGAGTGTTATTGAATCAGATTATGAAGAGATGCCACAATTAAGGAACATTGACCCTTATTTTCTGTGTAAGGTCAATTTTCTACTTGGAGGGAGGTTAATGCTTAAGCTCCTCTAACAAAGTATTAAACATAACCCAGCTGGTGCTCTGTGGACTCAGGGCTTGTGCTGGAGACCTGGCTGCAGGGCCACAGGCTCCATAGCGATACAAGGGTGGTCTGAAAGGCAGGCTGTGCCCACCACGCCCCTAAATATCTCTTCCTAAGCAAAAACGGACCACGCTCTGCTTTTGCCTGAGTAAGGGCTGCTGATTAGGTTTTTTTAAAAAAAATTTATTTTGGAATTTTTTTAAATGTACAAGAAATTTGCAAAGGTAGTACCGAATCCCTATATACCCATTGTCCAATTTTAGTTGCTGCTAATATTATCAACTCATATTACATTTGTGGTACATTTGTCAAAACTAAGAAATTAGCACTGATGCATTATACTAACTCAACCCCAGACTTTATTCTGATTTCACTAGTTTTTCCATTCAGGTTGCTTTTTGTTCCAGGATCCAGCCCATATTACACGTTGTGTTTGGTTGTTGTACCTCCTTAGTCTTTTCTGCTCTATGACAGTTTCTGTCTTACCTTGTTTTTCGTGACCTTGACAGTTTGGAGGAATACTAGCCAGGTATTTTTTCAAATGGTCCTCAATTTGGGTTTGTTCGATGCATTTTTCTCATGCTTAGACTGCAGTTGTGAGTTCTGGGGGGAAAGAATACCACAGAGTTGTAAAACGCCCTTCTCATCATGCCAAATCGGGGGTACAGTAGACACAGGATGTCGCTGAGGGGTTATCTTTGATCCCTCGGTCAAGATAATGTTTTCCAGGCTTCTCCACAGTAAAGTGACCCCTTTTCTCTTTCCATACCCCATTCTTTGGATGTGAGTTATGAAATCAGTGTACCCTCAGGGGTGGGGGGATTAAACTCTACCACCTGGGGGAAAAGTGTTAGATTGTTTTTTGAGAACTGGGGATCACCTGGCTCCATCCTCCCCTGTTTATAATTTGCCATTTCATTGTATTGTGAGGGAGAATGTGTCCATCCTTTCATAGCTAACTTAGCAGTTAAATTTTGTCCTGGGCACTGTGGATGTAGGACGTAGAGGTGAACAGGAAATAGACCAGTGGAAAAGACGTGGAGGGCAAGGCCGATGTAATAAAGTTTAAATACAGCTCATGCATAAAATCACAGTGGGACCTGGTTTGGATTTAAGCTTTTTCATCTAAAAACTTGGGATAATAATAGCTTCCTCTTGAGTAATTGTGAGAATTAAGTTGGACAGTGAATGCGGAAGGACTAAACATAGTGTTTGATATGTAGTAGCTGCTCAATAAATGTTAGTTGTCTTCCTTCAAGAAGAAAATGATGGACCCAGGCCGGGCACAGTGGTTCACGGCTGTGATCCCAGCACTCTGGGAGGCCGAGACGGGCAGATCACGAGGTCAGGAGTTCGAGACTAGCCTGGCCAACATGGTGAAACCTCGTCTCTACTAAAAATACAAAAATAATTGGACGTGGTGGTGGGCACCTGTAATCCCAGCACTCGGGAGGCTGAGGCAGGAGAATCATTTGAACCCGGTGGCAGAGTTTGCAGTAAGCCTAGATTGCACCATTGTACTCCAGCCTGGGTGACAGTGCGAAACTACATCTTGAAAAAAAAAAAAAAAGAAAAAAATAACATGATGGACCTTTGCTGCTAACAGCATGGATTCTGGCACCAAACTGCCTGCTTTTGAGACGTGGTTCTATGGCTTCAAGCCTGTGTGACCTTGGGAGAGTTAATCAACTTCTCAGTGCCTCATATTTTTCTTGGGTAAAAGGAGGATAATAATAGTATCCCTCTCATAGGGTTGCTGTGAGTATGATTCATTGTATGTAAAGAGCACAGAACAGCGCATGGCACATTGTGTGTTACAAGTGTTTGCAAATATTCCATATCATTCCATTCATTCATATCTTAGGCAGTACAATATGCATTAATTTGGTATTTAACCATTCTATTGAATTCAATAGATTAGAATTCAGTTATTCAATAGATTAGATTTTTATTTATTTATTTTTCATCTTTTATTTATTTTTTGAGACGGAGTCTCACCCTGTCGCCCAGGCTGGAGTGCAGTGGCTTGATCTCGGCTCACTGCAAGCTCCACCTCCCGGGTTCACACCATTCTCCTGCTTCAGCCTCCCAAGTAGCTGGGACTACAGGTGCCTGCCACCATGCCCGGCTAATTTTTTGTATTTTTAGTAGAGATGGGGTTTCACTGTGTTAGCCAGGATGGTCTCGATCTCCTGATCTCATGAGCCACCTGCCTTGGCCTCCCAAAGTGCTGGGATTATAGGTGTGAGCCACTGCGCCCAGCTAGATTTTAATTTACTAATGTAATAACCATTCTATAGAATTTTATTTATTTATTGAGACATAGTCTTGCTCTGTTGCCCAGGCTGGAGTGCAGTGGCACAATCTCGGCTCACTGCAACCTCCACCTCCTGGGTTCAAGCGAGTCCCCTGCCTTGGCCTCCCCAGTAGCTGGGTTTACAGGTGTGCACCACCATGTCTAGCTAATTTTTTTGCATTTTTAGTAGAGACGGGGTTTCATCATGTTGGCCAGGCTGGTCTCCAATTGCTGACCTCAGGTGATCCGCCTGCCTCGAACCCCCCAAAGTGCTGAGATTACAGGCATAAGCCACGGCACCCAGCCCCATTCTATAGAATTTAATGGATATAGATTACTATACCAATTTAATTTTTTCTTTCTCCCATATTCCACCCAACCTAGCAACACTGAGATATAATTGAGATAAACTTCACATACATGTACAATTGATGAGTTTTAACTTATTAAAATATCTGTGAAATCATCACTTCAGTAAAACACAGAACATATTCATCAGCCCCAAAAGGTTTCCCCGGGTCCCTTTGAGATGTCTCCCTTCCAGATAACTGCTGATTGACTTTCTGTCGCTATAGAAAGTTTGCACTTTTAGTTTGCATTTTCTAGATTTCTATATTAATGAAATCTTATAGCAGGAACTTTGTTTTCTGGTATGGCTTCTTTCAGCATTAATATTTTGAGGTTTGTCCATGTTGTTGCACGTATTAATAGTTTACTCCTTTTATTACTGGGAAGTATTCCCTTGTATGACTATACCATACTTTTTTTAATCCATTCACCTGCTGATAGACATTAGTATTACTTCCACTTTTTTTTTATTTGTTTGAGATGGAGTGTTGCTCTGTCACCCAGGCTGGAGTGCAGTGGCGCGATCTCAGCTCACTACAGCCTCTGCCTCCGAGTAGTTGGTATTAAAGGCGCACGCCACCATGCATGGCTAATATTTGTATTTTTAGTAGAGATGAGGTTTCACCATGTTGACAGGCTGGTCTCGAACTCCTGATCTTGTGATCTGCCCATCCAGCCTCAAAAAGTCCTGGGATTACCGGCATGAGCCCCTGTGCCAGGCTTTTTTTTTTTTTTTTTTTTTAAATAAAGATGTCATAAACAGCTATATACAAGAGTATATACCAACATATGATTTGAATTCCCTGGAATAAATATAGTTGATCCTTATTTGCGGGTTATGTGTTTTAAATTCACCTACTCATTAACATGTTTGTGTAACCCCAAAAGTATTAACCTTACAAGTAGTATTCATGGTCACTTGCCCATATGTGCAGAGCTGCCAAAAGTCTAAGTTCCCAGGCTTGCACATTCCCAGCTAAGGTTGAACAAGATGACTCTACTTTCTTGTTTCAGCTCATACACAGAGGTGACTAGAAAATAGAGACGGGGCCAGGCATGGTGGCTCATGCCTGTAATCCCAGCACTTTGGGAGGCCGAAGCAGGTGGATCACGTGAGGTCAGGAGTTCGAGACCAGCCTGGCCAACATGGTGAAACCCCATCTCTACTAAAATACAAAAAATTAGCCAGGCGTGGTGGAGGCGCCTGTAATCCCAGCAACCCAGGGGGCTGAGGGAGGAGAATCGCTTGAACCTGGAAAGTGGAGGTTGCAGTGAGCTGAGATTGAGCATGCCACTGCACTCCAGCCTGGGCGACAGAGCAAGACTCTATCTCAAAAAAAAAAAAAAAAGAGAAACGGGAGGGAACATTATACATTATAGGGCAAAAAGTTGCAGCTGTGGGGCCAGCTGGACAGATCTGAATCTCACCTCCGGCGCCTGTAGATCCCGGAGCATTAGGACCTTGGATGTTTTTAAAAGAATATTCTCTGATCACACGGAATTAAGTTGGAAATCAGTAGCAGAAAACGCCCCTTGGTGGAGTATCTCAGGCAAGACTCTTAACACTTTGGAACATAGTTTTCTCTTTTATAAAATAAAAGAAAATCAATCAGGATGAGTTGTCTTGGAGATTTAAGATTATAATCCATGTTAGATATATATCCTCTAGCGACAATATTTCAGAGTTAGCTAATTCAGTTTGTGGCAACTTTATAGAAATAACTACCTCGAATAATGAGAAGCAATTGTACCTAGAGGGGATGGATAGGTCTTACGACGGGTATATTTAAGAGTTTAGGAAACTACTGAACTATTGTCCAAAGTGTTTGTGTGATTTTACATTTCCAGCAGGATAGGAAATTTCCAGTTGATTCACATCTCACCAACACACGGTATGGCCAATCTCTTTAATTTTCGCTATTTTAGTGGGATTATAACAATATTTCCTTGTGATTTTAATTAGCACTAAGCTTGCAATGAATAATGATTTTGAATATCTTCTCAGGTATTTATTTACCTTCTGTGTGTCTTCTTTAATAATCTGTTCAAATCTTTTCCTCATTATTTAAAAAATCAACTTTATTGGTCTTTATTTTTAAGAACATGCTTCTCACATATTTACCTATGTAACAAACCTGCACATCCTGCACATGTACCCCAGAACTTAAAAGTTGAAGAAAAAAAATTTTAATCTTAAAAAAAAAAAACATGCTTCTGCCTTCATTGATTTTTTTTTCCCCATTTTTTTCCTGTTTTTCAGTTTATTGATTTTTGTTCCTATCTTTAGTATTTCTTTGATTCTGCATGGTTTGGGTTTAATATAGCCTCTTGCTTTATTTTGTTAGAGAGGAAACTGAAGTCATTGATGAGAGAACTTTCTTCTTTTTTAATGTAGGTATTTCATGCTGTAAATTTTTCTCTGCATTGCGTTAGCTGAATCCCACAAATTTTGATACATCATGTTTTCATTTTCATTAAGCACAAAGTCCTTTCTAATTTCCCTTTTAGTGTCTCTTTTGGACTACGAATTATTTAGAAGTATGGTCTGAAATTCCAAATATTTGGGCATTTTCCAGATATCTTCCTGTTACCGATTTCCAACTTAATTCCACGTGATCAGAGAACATCCTTTAAAAAAAAAAAAGAAAAGGTACTTTTTTGGCTCATGGTTCTGCAGGCTGTACAAGAAGCATGGCACTGGCTTCTGCTTGGCTGCTGGTAAGGGCTCTTGTGCTACGTCAAAACATGGCAGAGAAGGTCAAAGGGGAAGTGGGCACATGAGAAGCAACGTTCCTTATAGGACCTGAACCCTGGTGTATTTATCAAGACTTGCTTTATGGCCCAGAAGATGATCTATTTGGTAAATGTGTACATGAAAATAATGTGTATTCTTTGTTGTTGTTGTTGTTTTGAGACGGACTCTTGTTCTGTCACCCAGGCTGGAGTACAGTGGTGTGATCGCAGCTCACTGCAACCTCTGCCTCCTGGGTTCCAGCAATTCTTCTGCCTCGGCCTCCCAAGTAGCTGGGACTACAGGCATGAGCCACCACGCCTGGCTATTTTTGTATTTTTAGTAGAAACAGGGCTTCACCTTGTTGGCCAGGCTGGTCTTGAACTCCTGACCTCAAGTGATCCACCCGCCTCGGCCTCCCAAAGTGCTGGGATTACAGGCACGAGCCACCACGCCCGGCCAAGAATGTATATTCTCATATTGTTGGGTGAAGGGCTCTTTCTATGTCAAATAGGTCGACCTTCTATATCCTTCGTGGTTTTGTGGCAGCTGTTCATCTAGTTTGACTGTGCTGAGGCAATCCCCTTCTAAGTATACTACCTAATGACTTAGAATTACAAGGTTTTTCTACTCCAGCTGGAAGGAACACAAACAATTGTTAGCCCCGTGTAAGCTTTGCTGTTTCTTTTCTCTAATCCTCGGGTCATTCTTTCCTTGGCATTGGGTCATTTCTTTGCATATTTCCTGATCGGTCGTTAGCTAAAGACTTGAGGGAGACCCTCTTGCATGTGTCTGGAGTTCTCTCTCTGGACTATCTCCTTCACAGTAACTCCACCCTAGGAACCTCAGCAGTCTTGACCTCCTCAAACTCTCAAATCTGTCTGCTCCATTCAAGGAGATGGCCAGGCTCCCCCTGGACTCCTCTGCCTGCCCTGTGGCAGAATAACTCTGTACTCAGTAAGCTGGGGCAATCGCGGGGCTCATATCATTAGTTTCCCCTCTTTCGGAGTTCACTGTCCCGTGCTGTGTGATGTCCTATGTTTGCAAACTGTTGGCTATAGTAACGATGAAATATGCGTCCTGATTACTGAATTGCTATCTAATTAAGCTTTCATTTTGGTTTAACAACTTACTTGACTTATTCCCGATAATGTATACGCTAGAATGTTCCTTGATTCTGAACTTAAACACCAGTGGCATGAAAGAAGAAGGCTACTGAGAATTGTAAACCTTCATCCTTGGCCCTGCTCTTGCTGATTCAGTATCCTGCAGAGCTGAGCTTCCTTCGGCTTTTTCACTCCTGTGTCAGGCTCTCCTACCGTGCTCTCTTCTGAGGTTCACATTCACCATTATTGGATTCTTCTTGTTGCTGTTATTGTATCTTTATTTTCTAATTGTTATAAAAATTTGTCCCTGAACCCCAATTTGGTGCAACTTATTGTTCCCAGGTTTGTTTGTTTTTCTCCCTGGCCTGAACCTCATCCACTTCTTTGCATTTCTTTTGGCATATGTGTCTTTTAATGGCATTTTAATCTCTTTTTAAAACCTCAATATTTCAAAGGCATTTGCTTATTATGACAAATTCAAATGCTATAGGAATGTATAAATTTACAAATTAAACTTTTCTCCAAGTCAAAGTGGGAACTCTGGGTCTGGTCAGAACACCTGATTTTTTTAAACATGCCTTCATTCTATTAACTCAATTATCAAGTTAGCTTCCTCATTATAAATAATATGCAAGGCCAGACACGGTGGCTCACGCCTGTAAATCCCAGCACTTTGGGAGGCCAAAGCAGGTGGATCACTTGGGCTCAGGAGTTCAAGACTAGCCTGGACAACATGGCAAAACCCCATCTCTACAAAAAATACAAAAAATTAGCCAGGCATGGTGGTACGTGCCTGTAGTCCCAGCTACTTAAGGAGCTGAAGCAGGAGTATCTCTTGAGCCCAGGAGGTCAAGGCTGCAGTGAGCTGTGTTCACACGACTGTATTCCAGCCTGGGTAGCAAAGCAAGACCCTGTCTGAAAAGAAAAAAAAAAGATATACATATATTTTCAGACATTATATAATTCAATTAGACATTACCCTACCAAAGAGGACTGTATTGTCAAACAAGCTCACATAGGGCCACTCGTGGTGGCTCACACCTGTCATCCCAGCACTTCAACTTTGGGAGGCTGAGGCAGGAGGATTGCTTGAGCCCGGAAGGTTGAGGCTTCACTGAGCCATATTCATGCCACTGCACTCCAGCTTGGCTGACAAAGCAAGACCCCGTCTCAAAATAAAAAAGAAACTTAGCTAAAAAAATGAGTTTGGGCAACACTGGAAGAAATAAAGCCAAGCAAGTTTCTTTACCGCTTCGCAGATCTTCTTCTGAGCTAGTTTAAATTGTCAACTTTCAAGGTGGGGGAGGGATTAGCCCTTTTCAAATAGCCTTTTTGTATGAGTAAATCCATAATAAAAGTTGATCAATAACCAGTAGACATTTAAACTTCAAATATAAGGGAATAAAACAAACACTGATTTTAGACACTGTTTGAATTAATCAAGCCCGGGCTCCACTTTACAAACATCTGTCTCTGAAGGTTATTAAATTTGGCGTTGGCCTGTGCACTTCAGTGGCCAGGAGGTCAGAAGGCAAGGGAAGGCCAGAAATGACTGCTTCCCCCCACCGAACCCTCTCCTGGATCTGGAAAGAATATGTAGAAAAAAGGATAGTGTTTTAATTTATTCTTGATTAATCTCTTAATTTCATTAAAGTGAATTAAGTTTTTCAGAACACAGAAAAGAACTTCATAAAAATACCAGATATATTTTTTTCTTTTCATGAACATAAACTGCCCAGAAGTCTCTGGGTATTTCTTTCAGGAATTTCAGATCTCCTGCCATAGTTTGAAACATGGTACTGTCTCAGGATGTGGTATTTGGTCCACTGTGATACTCCTAGAGCAGATGCAGTTTCCGCTTTGACATTTCTGGATTTCAGAAATTAGCTCCACACATTGAGACTGAACAAAATCTTTTCCCTGCTTATAAAAGCAGTGCAAGCTCTGGAATAGAGTAAAAGTAATAAAAATAATCCATAATGCTACAACTCAGTGAGAACCACTGTTAACATTCTTGTGTATATATCCCAGTCTTTTTATTCTGTGTATATGTGAATGTATGTGTGTGCATCTGTGTAGGAAGAAATGTGTCTGGGCTGGGCGTGGTGGCTCACACCTGTAATCCCAACACGTTGGGAGGCCTAGGTGGTCAGATCACCTGAGGTCAGGAGTTCAAGACCACCCTGGCCAACATGGTGAAACCCCATCTCTACTAAAAATACAAAAGTTAGCTGGGCGCAGTGGCAGGCACCTGTAGTCCCAGCTACTAGGGAGGCTGAGGCAGGAGAATGGCTTGAACCCGGGAGGCAGAGATTGCAGTGAGCTGAGATCATGCCACTGCACTCCAGCCTTAGCGACAGAGTGAGACCCTGTTTCAAAAAAAAAAAAAAAGTATCTGTTTCTCACCCCTGTATTCCAAATACTCAGCACCTATCTACCTCAGTCCTTGGTATAGGAAAGGCATTTCTTAAGTAGAACATGAATAAATATTAGGGGCCAGGCATGGTGGCCCACACCTGTAATCCCCGCACTTTGGGAGGCCAAAGTGAAAGGATTGCTTGAGCCCAGGTGTTCAAAACCAGCCTGAAAAAGATGGTGAGACTCTCCCCCCCGAAAAAAAGGATCACAATGGGTCCGTTCTTAACCACTTTCAAGTATTCCATTGGAGCTGCCTGATCTCCACCTAGCGATGGTCTAGTACAGTGAGAACTCCCAGATGTGCCCCTTCTGGTGAGAGGCAAGCTTCCTGACAACGCCATGCTGAGTGTTTGATTGGCCGGCCAGACCTGTTCATAAAGCATTTCACAAACCGTCCTTTCTTACGCAAACTAGCTGGGAATAAACAGGCCCCCTGTGGGTCTTAGAACTAAAGCAAATATGAACCTCAAAGAACAAAGGAAAATCATTACTGGTGGCAGGAATATGAGAGTGCTTCCACAATACTATTTCACAAGTCTTTTCTACATGGGCTTCAGTCACAAAGGTGGTTTGACATTCACTGAGCAGCATGGGAACAATTCTAGAACACTTATTCTATCCCTGAGCTATTTCTGGGATAAAAATATTGTTAAAATACGGCTGGGCACCGTGGCTCATGCCTGTAATCCCAGCACTTTGAGAGGCTGAGGCAGGCAGATCACCTGAGGTCAGGAGCTTGAGACCAGCCTGGCCAACATGGTGAAACCCCATCTCTACTAAAAATACAAAAGTTAGCCAGGTGTGGTGGTGTGTGTCTATAATCCCAGCTACTTGGGAGGCTAAGGCAGGAGAATCACTTGAACCCTGGAGGTGGAGGTTGCAGTGGGCTGAGGTCGTGCCATCGCACTCCAGCCTGGGTGACAGAGCGAGACTCTGTCTCAAAAAAAAAAAAAAAAAAAAAAATATATATATATATATATATATATAAACTATATATGTAATTTTAACTATATGCATATATAATATTCTTGACAAAAAGAACACTATTGTTTATTCTAATAAAACAAACACACCTCTTCTCTTCCAAAAAGAATGTGAGACAGCTTAGACTGTTACAGTACTGTGAAGGGAACTATTAAAATTTATACCATATTCTAGTTGTCAAATGTTCAGAATAGGAAAGACTTTAGAATCAGAAGGTAGATTAGCAGCTCTCAGGGACCCAGGGAGTTGGGGCAGGGATGTAATGGTTGGATGGTTTCTTTTGGGATAATACAAATATTGTGGAATTAGATAGAGATGATGGTTGCACAACCTTGTGTGAATATACTGAAAACCACTGAACTGTACATTTCAAAAGGGAGAATTGTATGGTGTATGAATTAAGTTTCAATAAAGTCGTTACAGAAAATTTGCATCATAACAGTGGCTTGCGTGTGTAACAAGTTCCTACTTTCAGAGTACCTTCCTTTTATTATATAACTTTTAATATCATTATAACCTTATAAAATACACAGGGCAAGTTTATGTAATCTCCCTTAATAGTTGGTAGAGCTGAGACCCAAAGAGACTCAGTGATTTTGCCAACATCACACATCTACTTAGAGGTAGAGCCAGATTTCGAATAAAAATATTCCAGTTCCTATCCAGTGAACCTCTATTGTTCAACGTCCCATTAATGGGTTATACTCAATATCCAGCTACTCAATTTCATATATTTTATATGATGTTATTAAATAATAACAGCTCTTATTATTAAGTGCCTGTTATGTGCCAGGTAGCATCATACACTGTTTTTGTTTGTTTTGCTCTTTAGAGAGCAGATCTTGCTATGTTGCCCAGGCTGGAGTACAGTGGCTATTCACAGGCTGGATCACAATGCACTGCAGCCTTGAACTCCTGGGCTCCAGTAATTCTCCCGCCTCAGCCTCCCCAGTAGCTGGTACTACAGGTGCATGTCATCATGCCCTGCTATTACAAGTCATTATACAAACCTCATAAAGTTTTGTTAGCTGCATTTTACTTCTTTTGGAAGGTAGCTTATTCGTCCAAGGTTGCCCCACAGGGGACATTTAGCAGTGCGTGGAGACGTTTTTGGTTGTCACAGTGGGAGGGGGAGGATGCTACTAGCATCTAGTGGGTAGACGCCACGTATGCTGCTAAACGTGCAACAATGAACAGGACAGGCCCCACCACAGACAATTATCTGGTCTAAAATATTGATAGTGCCAAGGGTGAGCAACCCTGCTTTAAATGATGATGACATAGTATGTGTGAAAACCCTCTACAAATCCATACTGCTATTTTTACCATTTTACAAGTAGATTTTTCTAGTATGACAGCTATTCCTGGCAATGTTAGCCAGCACTAGGCCCTCAGCTCATGTTTGTTGGGTAGACCAGTGCATGTCAAAGATGATTAGCAAACATTATGCTAAGTGAAATTAGCCAGTCACAAAAAGAAAAATATTGCATGATTTCACGAACATGGGGTATTTAAAGTAATCAAACTCATGAAAACAAAAAGCAGAATGTGGTTGCCAGGAGTTGGGGGGAGAGGAAATGGAGAGTTGTTCTTTGATGGGTATGAAGTTTCAACTTTGCAAAGGTGAGAAAGTTCTAGACATCTGTCATACAACAATATGCAATATAGTTAACACTATATTGCACACTCAAAGGTGGTTCAGATGGTAAATTTTATGGTAGGTGTTATTTACACAATTTTTAAAACTTTAGGTGGGCGCGGTGGCTCATGCCTGTAATCCCAGCGCTTTGGGAGGCCGAGGCAGGAGGATCACTTGAGGTCAGGAGTTTGAGACCAGCCTGGCCAACATGATGAAACCCCATCTCTACTAAAAATACAAGCAATTAGCTGGGCATCGTGGCACATGTCTGTAATCCCAACTACTCGGGAGGCTGAGGCAGGAGAATTGTTTGAACCCAGGAGGCAGAGGTTGCAGTGAGCTGATAATTGCACCACAGCACTCCAGCCTGGGCAACAGAGCTAGACTCCGTCTCAAAAAGCAAAACAAACAAACAAAAAAACCTGTTTTAGCAAGTCTTCAACATTAGTGATTAGGGGTAGAATTTGAAGTTTCCAGGTTACTGTGGCAGTGTGTACACCTGATTAAACACTACTCTTCCAGCTAATTTGACAGAAATGCAACAATATATTAAATATGGAAGGAGAGGGGCAGGTGATGGGAGAGAGAAGTTGTGAAAAGCCCCACAATGTGTCCTCATCCTGGAGACACTGAGTATGTGCTTGAAAATAGGCTGGTTCCATCGTGTAATGGTTAGAACTCTGGACTCTGAAAATAGGCTGATGTATTGGACTAACCTGTAATTGTGAGAAATAATTTATTTGCAGAAGATAAAAGACTTAGAGGACATTTATAAATATAAATGTTATTAGAATTAGGTGACCTTCAAAGGAGTACTGAATACGCCTGTTGGTTTTGGTCACAAAGTTTCCCAAATCATTTTTGTTTTGCTTCGATTATATTTACCTAATCCTGATAAGTTTCACCCGAATGAATAAATGTTATCGCTCTGAGCTTCAAAGTGCAAATATTTTACCAGCCTCATTGAAAAGCACAAATATTATCTTTAGCATAGATTGGTTTCTCAGGGTAGAAAACTGCATATAAGAACAAATCTCATGAAGTTAAGGTTATCTCATTCCCTATTTAATTTGTCCTTTAGTTGAATAGTGAGTTAGAGCTAGAGACATGCTTATAAAATTTTGTTTTCTGATGTCTTCTCTGTAGGACAAATGGAAGGAAAGATTTTTGGAAGCAGCTTCTTGTGTCCGACCCGCTGTGATCAGCTGCTACTCCCAGGTCTGGGGTTAGATGGCTTTGTGACTTTCCTTCTCTGGATGGCATTTTGCTTTCCTCTGTAAAATGGTGTGATGAATGAGATGACCTCTAAGCCTCTTTCCATGTCTGTCACTGGACTGTCCTCTTATGTAGCCATTTAAGTTTTCTAATTAAAAAAAAAAAATTTAAAATTTGATGCTCAGTTAAGTTACATCAAAATAATTAAAATGAAACTACAGGTTGAGTATCCCATATCCAAAACGCTTGGGACCAGAAGTGTTCTGAATTTCAAGTTTTTTCTAGGTTGGAAAATTTGCATATACATAATGAGATGTCTTGGGGATGGGACCCAAGTCTGAACATGAAATTCATTTATATTTCATATACACCTTATGCACATAGCCTGGAGATAATTTTATACACTATTTTAAATAATTGTGTCCAAGAAGCAAAGTTTTGGCTGCTGTTCGACTGAGACCCATCACATGAAGTCAGGTGTGGAATTTTCCACTGATGGTGCCACATTAACTCTCAAAAAGTTTTGGATTTTGGAGCATTTCAGATCTCAGATTTTCAGACTAGGGATGCCGAACCTCTATGTAATTTTGCTTTGAATGTGTCTGGGACACTGGGGAAATTTTGATTTTTAAGATTCATCTCTAATTCTGAAAATAACCTGGTTGGGTGCAGTGGCTCACGCCTGTAATCCCATCATTTTGGGAGGCTGAGTTGGGCAGATCTCCTGAGGTCAGAAGTTCGAGACCAGCCTGGCCAACATGGTGAAACCCTGTCTCTACTAAAAGTGCAAAAATTAGCTATGCATGGTGGCACACACCTGTAGTCCCAGCTACTTGGGAGGCTGAGGCAAGAAAATCGCTTGAGCCTGGGAGGCAGAAGTTGCAGTGAGCCAAGATCGCGCCACTGCACTCCAGCCTGGGTGACAGAGGGAGACTTCGTCTCTAAATAAATAAATAAAATCTAAGTGATGGCACGTCACCCCGGGGCATCTTTCCACTTTCACATTCTCTCCTGGCTGCTTTACCTGCCCTGCCAGCACAGTCCAGAGGGCCCCCACTAGCATTCCACATGCCAGGCCTTGCTTAGATGGAAGGCCTTTTCTTCCATCTAATCTAACCTGTCTCTTGTCCCATTTTTCCAGAACCTCTATTGGATGGCATTTTCTAGAACCTCTATTGGTTACTTACGGCATAATGAGATATATAGAGGTTATTGCTAGGTCATCCTTCTTGACTCAAATCTCATTTAAGCAATTAGCTTCCTTATGAAACTTCATAAGGGTCATTGTGGATCCCTTGGCTGGCTGATGGGGCTGAGATCTTGGGATAGGCAGGTTTTTCCTTGCGCCTCGAATGCCACGTTGAATACTCCTCATGTCTTTGGAGACATGTCCTTCCCTTCGAGCTGCTCCCAGTCAGGTGAGGAATAAAATGCTATGATGGCGTGAAAATTCTCCCTTGGTCTCATCCATAGATTTGCAATCACCTAAAAAAAAAAAAGGAAGAGTGTGCCAAGCCACCCCATATAGAGCCACTGTGTGGCAGCACTGCCTCTCGCCAAAGCTTGGGCCACTCGGTGTCAGGCAAAGTGCAGTGGGGTGAGTTTCCAGTTCACTGGCGGTACAGGTAGCCCCTAGAAGCGATCGTGTGCAGTGAGAATAGCTAGCATTTCAGAGTGTTCACTATGCGTGAATACTGCTCAGAGTGCATTCTACTTATTAACACATCAACTCACAAAACAGCCCTACTGGTATTATCTTTATTTTACTGACAAAGAAATTAAGACAGATAGGAAAAGTGATTTGCCCAACGTCACACAACTAGGAACTAGCAAAGCCAGGATCTAGACCCACGCAAACCTCTCTTTGAAGCTCATGCTTTGCTACCAAATATCGTGTCATTCTGGCATTCACGAGGAAATCTTGAAAATAAAGCAAAAAGTTGTAAAATGGTATCAAGTCCACAATCGCTGTCTTGATGTAGTGCAAGCACAGTGGTATACAAGGGACATCCGTAGATACAGAGGAGAGGGTCAGCAAACCTTCTCTGGTAAAGGCCAGATGGAAAACATTTTAAGCTTCGGTGGTCAGATGTGGCAACAACTTAGCCCTGCCATTGTAACGTGAAAGCAGCCATAGGCCCTGTGTAAACAAATGAGGACGGCTGTGTTCCAATAAAATTGTATTTATGGACACCGAAATTTGAATTTCATATAATTTTCATGTGTCACAAAACATTTTTCTTCTTTGGATTTTCTCCCAACCATTTTAAAATATAAAACCATTCTAGCTGAGAGATTGTCTAAAAACATGCAGCGAGCCAGACTGGACCCCCCCAGCTGTGGTTTTGCTGATCTCTGGTATAGAGGAAAGAAGGGTGGCTAAACTTAATTCGGTGAGTGCCTACCATAAGCAAGGTGTTGAAAGTGCAGTGACCAGCAGACCGAAATAGTTCTCCATGGGACATTATGTTGAGTGAAATAAGCCAGGCACAGAGAGACAAATATTGCATGATCTCACTCATGTGGAATCCACATAGAAGTAGAGAATAGAACAGTGGTTACCAGAGAATGGGAAGGGAAAGGAGCAGGGGGGTGATGAGAGATGGATCAACAGGTGCCAAGCTATAGATAGAGAGGAAGAATAAGCTCTGGAGTTCTACTGCATAGGAGGAGGATTACAGTTAATAATAATGCATTGTATATTTCAAAATACCTGGAAGAGCAGTTTTTGAATGTTCTGATAACAAACAATAAATGTCTAAGGTGATGGATATGCTAATTACCATGATTTGATCATTACACAATGTATACATGTATTGGAACATCATGCTGCATCCCATAAATACGTATAATTACCACCTGTAAATCATACATTTAAAAATAAAATATTAACTTTTTGTTTTAAAAATAAATAGTCCTCCATGGACTAGTGGTAGAGCAAACAAACAAGCAATTGTAGGAGTACAAGGTTTTATTAGGGCAGGTGAAGGGCTTCTAACCCAGACTTGGAAGAGCAAGGAAGGGTCACCAGGGAAGCAGTGTCACATAGGGACCTGAAAGATGAGTAGGAACTCAAGACAAGGCAGGGGGAGAGAATATTCCAGGTAGATGGCCTATGCAGTGAGAAGAGATAAGCTTGAGGCTAGGCACAGTGGCTCATGCCTATAATCCCTTTGGGGGGTCAAGGAAGGAGGGTCCCTTGAGCCCAGGGGTTCAAGACCAGCCTGGGCAACATAGTGATACCCCGTCTCTACAAAAAAACGATTTTTATTTTTTTATTTTATTTTATTTTTTTTGAGACGGAGTTTCACTCTTGTTGCCCAGGCTGGAGTGCAATGGTGTGATCTTGGCTCACTGCAACTTCCACCTCCCGAGTTCAAGCGATTCTCCTGCCTCAGCCTCCCTAGTAGCTGGGATTACAGGCATGTGCCATCATGCCCAGCTAATTTTGTATTTTTGGTAGAGATGGTGTTTCTCCATGTTGGTCAGGCTGGTATCGAACTCCCAATCTCAGGTGATCTGCCTGCCTCGGCCTCCCAAAGTGCTGGGATTACAGGCATGAGCCACCTCGCCCGGCCCCAAAAAAAATTTTTTTAAGGCTGGGTGAGGTGGCTCACTCCTGTAATCCCAGCACTTTGGGAGGCCTAGGCGGGTGGATCACCTGAGGTCAGGAGTTCAAGACCAGCCTGGCCAACATGGTGAAACCACTTCTCTACTAAAAATACAAAAATTATCTGGGCGTGGTGGTGGGTGCATGTAATCCCAGCTACTTGGGAGGCTGAGGCAGGAGAATTGCTTGAACCTGGGAAGCAGAGGTTGCAGTGAGCTGAGATCGCACCATTGCACTTCAGCCTGAGCAACAAGAGTGAAACTCTGTCTCAAAAAAAAAGAAACAAAATCTTATGTTTAATTAGGCAAGCAATGTGGCTGGCACCTGTAGTCCCAGCTACTCAGGAGACTGAGGCAGGAGGATGGGTTGAGTCCAGGAAGTTGATGTGGCAGTGATTGCACTCCAGCCTGGGCACAGACCCAGACCCCAACTCTAAGATAAGAAGAAGAAGAGTTAGGTTTGAAAACCCCAGGCTGCCATTAACTCATTACTGGATATCAGGCAAGCTAGCATATCTTTGGGCGTAATTTCTTCATGTGCAAAGTGGATATAATGTCAATGCTTACCTCTCAGGCCATCAGTGAGAAAATGGAGACAAAATGTGATAGAATAGTCGTTATGGGTCATTGTCAGTGTTCTTTATTTGTAACTGAATCAATTGGTGAGAATAATCTGCAAGATTCCTTTCAATCCTGAAATACTATAAATTCTTGATCTTTATTTTTAAGTAAAGAGACCCCACTATCGAGGAGTTCTGGGTGCTGTCCACGTAAATGGTGACCTACTTCAGGACAACTGTGATTGCCTGAAGTTGAAGAAATATAGTGTCCCTTGCATTCAAAGGTGACATCAGTGATGGTGATGGTGGCTCTGCATGGGAAAAAGAGGTGCCAAATGAACACACATTCCACCTGTACTCCACATGGGAAAAACACCCTGAGCTGGCAGCTGTGGCCGATTTGCTAGGGTCTTAATTTGTGGTTGACCTAGACAGAGGTGCCCAACTGTGCCTGGCTTTTGTGAAGTGGTCAGCTGGCCCCACTGGCTCATGTTCAAAGAGTCACCTGATTTTTTAAATAGAAGAGCTACCGACTTGTGGTTGATCCTCCTTCTTTTAAGTAAATGGTCATATTGCACTTCTTGCTGCAAATAAGTTGCTAGAGCACATTTCTCAAGTCTGGGCAGGGACCTGCAGACTGACTTCAGCAATGGCATAAAATCAGGTGAATGATGAATCCAGAAAAGACCATAGGAAAAATAAAGGTAGAGGCATTTGGGTTGGTCCTAGGGCTTATGGCCACGTCCATAACTCTTTTATTCCTGTATAGTAACTATTAGGTCCCGCAAAAATATCTTCCATGGGGGAAGATCTCAAACTCTTCAGTCCTTGCAGAAGTGTGTGGCATGATTGTGACAGGCAAGAAAATGTTCTTGGATGAAAATATACCAGTGACGCCATTGAGAAATAATAACCTGCCAGCGATACTTGATCCGAAATCACTGCATAATGGAACCTGTGTCCAAAGACGAAGCCGAGTTCCCTTTGGCCTATGTCATGGTCATCCGCAAAGACTGATACATTTGAAAGACTCTTGAGGGCCATCTACACTCCCCAAAACATCTACTGTGTTCATGTGGATCAGAAGGCCCCAGTCACTTTCAAAGACGCTGTAAGAAAGCTACTGAGCTGCTTCACAAACGTCTCTGTGGCTTCTGAGAGGGAGTCTCTGTTCTACACAGGGATCTCCAGGCTCCAGGCTGACCTGCACTGCCTGAAAGACCTTGTGGCCTCTGAGGTTCCCTGGAAGTACGTCATCAACACCTGTGGGCAAGAATTCCCCTGAAAACCAACAGGGAAATACGTTCAGTATCTGAGGTTACGGAAAAGGAAAAATATCACCCCCGGGGTGCCGCCTCCTCCTCATATTATCAGAAGGACCAAATACATGCACTTGGAGCAGAGATAGCTTGTTTTCCTTCATGCTGTGGACTTGCATGAGAAAAATGCCTCCTCCCCACCATCTGACAATTTACTTTGGCTCTGCCTATGTGGCCCTTACAAGGGAATTTGCTAATTTTGTTCTTCAAAACCTAAGGGCCATTGATTTACTTGAGTGGTCAAAAGATACTGACTCTCCTGATGAGCATTTCTGGGTGACACTCAGTAGGATTCCAGGTATGTGGAACTTGATTTCCAATCTACATAAAGTCTAAACTCTGTGAGTGCACGCACACGTGTGTGTTACACATTGAAAATGGTCTTGATGAAGTTATGTATACCCATCTGTGTTTCTAGACTTAATGAATATCCTGTTGACTGCTTTCCATATGTTTCAATAAATTAATATAAAATATACTTCTGGCCAGGTGCGGTGGCTCATGCCTGTAATCCCACCACTTTGGGAGGCCGAGGTAGGCAGATCACTTGAGGTCAGGAGTTTGAGACCAGCCTGGCCAACATGGTGAAACCCTGTCTCTACTAAAAATACAAAAATCAGCCAGGTGTGGTGGCACTGGCCTGTAATCCCAGCTACTCAGGAGGCCAAGACAGGAGAATCACTTGAACTTGGGAGGTGGAGGCTGCAGGGAGCCAAGATTGCAGCACTGCACTCCAGCCTGGGTGGCACAGCAAGACTCCATCTCAATGAATGAATGAATAAATAAATAAAATAAATTATGCTTCTATGTGTCACTAAATAGACTGTTAGCTTATAGAACATCCTTATTAAATTTCTGCTGTCATTGTATGTTATGTTTTGTTAAATTTTTTGTTGGTACACAGTAGGTATATATATTTATGGGTTACATGAGACGTTTTGAATCAGTCATGAAATGTGAAATAATCACTTCAGGGTAAACGGGGTCTCCATGACCTCAAGCATTTATCCTTTGTGTTACAAACCATCCAATTACACTTTTATTCCTTTTAAAATGTACGATTAAATTATTTTTGACTTATGTTATGCTAGCAAATACTAGGTCTTATTCATTCTTTCTGTTTTTGTACCCATTAACCCTCCCCCTTTCCCTCCATACCCCTACTCCCTTTCCCAGCCTCTGCTCATCATCCTTCTACTCTCTAACTCCATGAGTTCAATTATTTTAACTTTTAGCTCCCACAAACGTGAGAATATGTGAAGTTTGTCTTTCTGAGATCTTTGAATCTCTGATATGACACCCAAAACTTTTTTTTTTTTTTTTTTTTTGAGATGGAGTTTCGCTCTTGTTGCCCAGGCTAGAGTGTAATGCCACAATCTCGGCTCACCACAACCTCCGCCTCCCGGGTTCAAGCGATTCTCCTGCCTCAGCCTCCCGAGTAGCTGGAATTGCAGGCATGCGCTACCACGCCCGGCTAATTTTGTATTTGTAGTAGAGACGGGGTTTCTCTATGTTGGTCAGGCTGGTCTCGAACTCCTGTCCTCAGGTGATTCGCCCACCTCAGCCTCCCAAAGTGCTGGGATTACAGGCTTAAGCCACTGCGCCCAGCCCCCAAAACTCTTTTTTAAGCAATGATAATATGTTGTCTAGAAATTCAGTATCTTCAATATGGATTGGATTATTCATTATAATCTCATTTTCTGTGAATCTATATTACACGCATTTGAAAAGTTTGAGATCTGAGAATGTCAATAAAATTTCTATAAGAACAATATGAAATAATGCAAATTTCTCCAAATGAAAAAAGTTTTAAAAATCCATTAAGAATTTCAAGAATTTGGCCAGGCACGGTGGCTCATGCCTGTAATCCCAGCACTCTGGGAGGCCAAGGCGGGCGGATCACAAGGTCAGGAGATCGAGACCATCCTGGCTAACATGGTGAAATCCCGTCTCTACTAAAAATACAAAAAAAATTAGCCGGGGTTGGTGGCGGGCGCCTGTAGTCCCAGCTACTCGGAAGGCTGAGGCAGGAGAATGGCGTGAACCCAGGAGGCGGAGCTTGCAGTGAGCCGAGATTTCGCCACTGCACTTCAGCCTGGGCGAGAGTGCGAGACTCCATCTCTGAAAAAAAAAAAAAAATTTTTTCAAGAATTCAGAACCATCTTCCAGGTGAACTGTCTGTCAACTGTGTTTGGGCCATGTCCACATGCTGGCCTCACTTGGATTGATGGGTAGAAACCCTCTGTGGGCCAGCCTTCATGAGTCTTCAGGAAGTCATCCTTCGTATAAAATTTTAAAATCCTCTACTAGTTATCCGTGGGCAGAACATTTTAAAACATTCTTTTCTTATTATAAAATTCAATCTTACTGCGGAAACTCTGGGAAAAACAAAAGCATAAACAAGAAAGTAAAATCTACGCATTATACAAAACTGAGAAGTAATTTCTGTTAGCATTTTAGCATTATTTACCTCTTTCTCTGTGTATTGCTTCATGTAGTTAGGTTATACTGATGATGTAATTTTTTTATCCTGCTACTTTCATTTAACACTATATCATAATAGTTTCCCTATGTGATTAAAAATATGACATATTGTATTTTATCATAGTATGGATGTACCATAGTTTGCTTACCAATTCCTCAATAGTTCGTTTTTTCCTTTTTTTTTTTTTTTTTTTTTTTTTGAGACAGGTTCTTGCTCTATCACCCAGGCTGGAGTGCAGTGGCACAATTTCGGCTCACTGCAACCTCTGCCTCCCGGGTTCAAGCGATTTTCCTGCCTCAGCCTCCTGAGTAGCTGGGATTACAGGCTTGAGCCACTGCGCCCCACCTAATTTTTAAATGTTTTGTAGAAGTGGGGTCTCGCTATGTTGCCCAGGATGGTCTCACACTCCTGGGCTCAAACTATCCTACTGGCTCCGCCTCCTTTTTTTTTTCTGAGGCGGAGTCTCACTCTGTCGCCCAGGCTGGACTGCAGTGACGTGATCTCTGCTCACTGCAAGCTCCGCCTCCTGGGTTCACGCCATTCTCCTGCCTCAGCCTTCCGAGTAGCTGGGACTACAGGCGCCCGCCACCACCCCTGGCTAATTTTTTTGTATTTTTAGTAGAGACGGGGTTTCACTGTGTTAGCCAGGATGGTCTCGATTTCCTGACCTTGTGATCCGCCCGCCTCAGCCTTCCAAAGTGCTGGGATTACAGGCATGAGCCGCTGGCCCGGCTGGCTCCGCCTCCTGAAGTGAGGGGATTACAGCCTCGTTCCTAGTTTTTTACTGTGTAAAATGTTATTTTAGTCAATACTGAATAACATCAAAAGTAAGTAACATCTTTTCACATAAGCTTCGCCACATTTTAGTATTATTGTCTTTGGAATTAAAATTCACTGGATTGAAAGATAGCCACATTTAAAATTCTTGATACATATTGCAAAATTGCTTTCCAAAATATATTCTAATTTTCCATCAGTCCACCAGTGTGTGATCACACGTCTGCTAACAGTGGTATTCTAATGTATTTATTTTATTTTTGAGACAGTCTCTCTGTCCCCCTGGCTGGAGTGCAGTGGTGCTATCTCAGCTCACTGCAACCTCTGCCTCTCAGGTTCAAGAGATCCTTCTGCCTCAGCCTCCCAAGTAGCTGGGACTACAGGCATGTGCCATCACACCGGGCTAATTTTTTTTGTATTTTTAGTAGAGAGGGGGTTTCACCATGTTGGCCAGGCTAGTCTCGAACTCCTGGCCTCAAGTGATCTGCCCGCCTCGGCCTCCCAAAGCGCTGGGATTAGAGGCGTGAGCCACCGCACCTGGCCTAATGTATTTCTTTTAAAAAATTACTTGAATTAAACAGAAAAAGAACTGCGCTACTCTTGTTATTTATAATTTGTTAAAGATGAATATATTTTAAAGGTATGTTAGCCATTTTTCTTGTTCTTTGTGGGTTGCCAGTTTTCTGGGTGGCAGGCACAGAATTTCAATGCTCTATTGTTTGTGATGGAGAAGAACAGGTTGGGTGGCCAGGAGGTGAAAGGATAAGGGTATTTCCAGCAAAGAATGGAGGCTGTAAGGAGCTGGCAAGGACTGAGATCATTTGAATAGGCATAATGAAATAGTGAAATAATTAGGTAATTTGCCAAGGAAAAAATCACCCGTTGCTGCGATGATTTGACTTAACTGGCTCTTTCCCAATAAGTAGACCCCGTCTTGAATCTCCAGGACAGTCATCCTTTTTTCCCTACCTTCATCACTAAAGTCTGGGTTTGTAAAATACTGATGTATACTTGGATATTTGATGATTTTATTCTTTGGTTGGTAAAAGGTATAGAATTGTATGGAGCATTTTATTTACCTCTCCAGCAAAATTCCCATGGGCTGGTCTCTATTTTTCATACTTTTGCAAACAGTACAGAATGACAGGCCATGAAGAAATGCTGACTCATGCGCTCATGAGGAAGTTGAATTGTAGATCTGGGCCCAACACACACAATGCAGCGTAAGATGAGGGAGAAGATAACCAGTCACGACCATTAAAATTGTTCCTTTCCAATTAGAAAAAAATAATTCATGACCATTTTATAAAATGTGGAAAATAGGAAAAAAATACATAGAAGAAAGTAAAATTTACCATAATCCTAAAACTCTAAAATAAATGCTGTTAAAACAGTTGGGCTTCTTTTAGTCTTTTCAAAATAGGTCATTTTAAGAATTGTTGATTTGGCCAGGCGGGGTGGCTCACATCTGTAATCCCAGCACTTTAGGAGGCCAAGGTGGGCAGATTACTTGAGGTCAGGAGTTCGAGATCAGCCTGACCAACATGGAGAAACCCCGTCTCTACTAAAAATACAAAAGATTAGTCGGGCGTGGTGGCAGGCGTCTGTAATCCAGCTACTTGGGAGGCTGAGACAGAATTGCTTCAACCCAGGAGGCGGAGGTAGCAGTGAGCCGAGATTGCACCACTGCATTCCAGCCTGGGTGACAGAGCAAGGCTCCATCTCAAAAAAAAAAGAAAAGAAAAAGAAAACAGACGACAGGTGCAGTGGCTCACACCTGTAATCCCAGCACTTTGGGAGGCCAAGGTGGGTGGATCACCTGAGGTCGGGAGTTCGAGACCATCCTGACCAACATGGAGAAACCCCGTCTTTAATAAAAATACAAAAAATTAGCAGGGCATGGTGGCGCATGCCTGTAATCCCAGCTACTCGGAGGCTGAGACAGGAGAATTGCTTGAACCCAGGAGGCAGAGACTGCGGTTAGCCAAGATCGTGCCATTGCCCTCCAGCCTGGGCAACAAGAGCAAAACTCGGTCTCAAAAAAAAAAAAAACGAAAAAGAAAAGAAAAATAATCATTGATTTGGGCCGGGTGTGGTGGCTCACGCCTGTAATCCTAGCACTTTGGGAGGCCAAGAGGGGTGGATCACTTGAGTCCAGGAGTTCAAGATCATCCTGGTCAACATGGTGAAACCCTTTCTGTACTAAAAATACAAAAATTACCCGGGCATAGTGGTGGATGCCTGTAGTCCCAGCTACTCAGGAGGCTGAGGCAGGAGAATTGCTTGAACCTGGGAGGCAGAGGGTGCAGTGAGCTGAGATTGTGACACTGCACTGGGTGACAGAGCAAGGCTCTGTCACAAAAAAAAAAAAAAAAAAAAAAAGTTGATTTGCTATTTCTTCAGTTTATCCTGGCTTTATGACTGGAAAAAAATTTTTTTTAACTCAGTTGGATTTTTTCTTTTTTTTTTTTTTTTTTTAAGTTGATGTCTCACTATGTTGCCCAGGCTGGTCTCAGAATTCCTGGGCTCAAACAACCCTCCCGCCTCAGCCTCCCTAGTAGCTGAAACTGCAGGTGCACACCACCATACCCTGCTTTATCCCCACTGAATTTTATAAGCTGCTTCTGACTGCAAAGTGTTTGGCAGAAGAGAGGGATATGGCTAAATGCACGGTATGACTAGCTTGTTTCCTGGGACAGGAATCAGTTCATTCCTGAAAGGGTATGTAAAGAGCCCGTTTGCCTGGCCTAGGAAAAGCCAGAGGTTCAGAGAGAGGAAGTGACTTGCTCAAGATATACAGCTTGCATTAGAGAGGAGAGAACTTGCCTTCTGAAAATGCCCAGGGCATTTTCTACTAAATTCTGCTGCCACCTTAGGATTCCCCTTCCCCAGTGTGGGTAGCATTTGAGCAGAACACATATCTAAATCTGTTAGAGGTTACCCTGGGGCAGAGACTATAAGATTTCCTACCAATAACTAAACATAAGAGTGGAACCTTAAACACGAGGGGTCTGTGAGGGAATCCAAAACTTCCCCTCTTGAAAAAGCAGCCTCTAAGGGGGCAAAATGGAGGGTAGTCTTAGGAAAACACCCAAATAATTATCCTGAGGTCTATCTTGGAGTGTCCTCATGAAAAACCCAGTTACACCCAGGGCAGTTACCTTTCTGAGCGGTTTCTTATAACATTCCTGGAGTGGAAAGTGATCAACTCAAAGCCCTCCAGGACTCTAGAGGCAGGGGATGAGCTGGTGTCAGGTAGCACCTGGTATCCAGCAGCTTAAAAAATCCAGACTCTAGGCAGGCTCTCTGTAGACGTGTGTTCTCCTGTCTCAGACTCTTAGGGCAGGCCTTGGGGGTGGGACTGAAAGCAAACAGACCTTCCCACTTTCACATTCCAGCCTCTGTTATTCCACTTAAAACGCTAGGGTTAAACTGCGTTTACCTTAAACAGGCTTACTGTGTTCACTGCTGGACGCCTCTGGGCAATCTTACCCTCCTGGGAACTGAGAGAGGTAGGTGGAGGTCAGCGTGCTGGGAAACTGGTGGAGGGAGGAAACTGCGGGGAGCTGGTCTTCTCGTGTTACCTCTGTTAAATCGCTGACAGCAGTTTAAGGTCCAATAGGCTGGTACTCAAATGGGCTGCGTGGATGTTTTATATTTCCAGAACCTAGCACAGTGCCGGGCATAAAGTAAGTACACCAAAAAATGTTGAATGAGTCATTTGGTCATGAGATTTCTGTTTTCAAAGGTTTTTTTTTTTTCAAAGAATAGCATGTTTGTATGTTGTTTCATTACATGATGGGCCTACTGGGCACGAGGGTTTTCCATCTGTCTCTAAATCATTAGTATCCTTCTGTATCTCAGTTACAACTTTTAACTTTGTAGGAAAGAACAACGTTCACTTCAGACTTAATGGTTTATGTTTCTCAGTTCCTTCAGGCAAGGGAAAATGTTTCCAGAATTTGATAAGGTACTTGGTACTGTCTGGCATTTAAATTTTTTTTTTTTTTTCCAGACATAGTCTCACTCTGTCACCCAGGCGAGAGTACGGTGGTGCGATCTCAGCTTACTGCAACCCCCACCTCCTGGGTCCTGCCTCAGCCTCCTGAGTAGCTGGGACTACAGGCATGCACAACCAAGCCCGGCTAATTTTTGTATCTTTAGTAGAGATGGGGTTTCATCATGTTGGCCAGGCTGGTCTCAAACTCCTGACTCCATGTGATCCACCTGCCTCAGCCTCCTGAAGTGCTGGGATTACAGGCGTGAGCCACCGTCCACAGCCTGAAATGTATTTTATTTAATTAGTTGCTGTGAGGTATGAACATTCCTGTGAGGTATGAACCTCATTTGATAATAGGTAAAATTGAAAATGAAGCTCTGGGCCATGTAGAAAAGTAGTAGATCCATATTGCCATTCTATGAAAACCCATCTTCTGATATTAAAGACAGGTCTACTAAGTAAATTCAGGTTTTGCCAAACTCAAAGCTACTTTTCTGTTTTCCTTATTTTTAAATGTAGGCCTTTGAGAGTCGTCACTTGTAAATAGTCTTTCTGCACCTGGTAGTAGATTGGCCAAATAGAGGGTAGTTACCTGTAGGCTGTGGTTTTCCAGAAGAAATAGGGAGACTGTAATCCCAGGCCCTGGGGACCCTACAGCGTAAAGGATCTGTTTCTTTGCACTCTGTTCTGATTGAACAGCATATTGCAATTATCGGAAGAAGGGAGGCTATATTCTTTCATGTAATTATTCTTAGTGATCAGAAGCTTGAGGTCTCCCTTGTGGAAGTATTCTACCTATGGCAGTAATTTTTGGTTCCTGTAACTTCAAAATCCTATCAAGGACTTTCTGAGCGATAGAGGTCGGGAGGGTAAGAGCAAAACTCCATCCAGAAAGGTGAAAACAACAAACAAAGCCTCGGGCACGGAGATTGGGCTGCTGTTCTAGCTTCTCATAATATCCCATTTATAGAATACACTCAATCCTCAACTCCAGGGTAACTTTCTGCAACAGTAAAATTAGACTTAAAACGAATGAGGTTCTCCAGCTCTGGCTTCTCCCGGAGACCCTGGCTTGGAAAGCCTGGAGTTGTCAGATATCTTTTCATGTGCAAACGCAGGCGGAAAGTGCCTTTAAGGCCTCGACTCCGCCTAGTAACTGAGCTGCTATTTAACTTTGCTCAGTCTTGCATTGCCTCAAAGTTATTTGACTGAGCTTGAAAAGACCAGCTTTCAGCCAGGCGCGGTGTGGCTCATGACTGTAATCCCAGCACTTTGGGAGGCCGAGTCAGGCGGATCACCTGAGATCAGGAGTTCGAGACCAGCCTACCAGCATGGTGAAACCCCATCTCTACTAAAAAGAAAATACAAAAATTAGCCGGGTGTGGTGGCACATGCCTGTAACCCCAGCTGCTCGGGAGGCTGAGGCAGGAGAATTGCTTAAACCCGGGAGGCAGAGGCTTCAGTGAGCCGGGATGGCGTCATTACACTGCAGACGGGGCAACAAGAGCGAAACTCCGTCTCAAAAGAAAAAAAAAAAAAAAAAGACCAGCTTTCTCTTATAGTTTCCTATTACTTTTTTTCCCAGCTATTTTTTGTTAAACGATCACAACCCACTTCATTTCCCCCTCGTAGCCTCTTCTTCCCCACAGCTTTCCATCCAGGTCTGGAATTAGCTCTGACTTCTCTAGAAGCCCTGAGCTGAGCACGTTAGGTGCCCTACCTCCAGAATCCTCCCAGCATGGCCTGGAGATTGCTGTTGTCTTGACTCTAGACTTGAAAAACCAAGGCCGGGCGCTGTGGCTCATGCCTGTAATCCCAGCACTTTGGGAGGCCGGGGTGGGCGGATCACGAGGTCAGGAGATCGAGACCATCCTGGCTAACACGGTGAAACCCCGTCTCTATTAAAAATACAAAAAAATTAGCCGGGCTTGGTGGTGGGCGCCTGTAGTCCCAGCTACTCGGGAGGCTGAGGCAGGAGAATGGCCTGAACCCGGGAGGCGGAGCTTGCAGTGAGCCGAGATCGCGCCACTGCACTCCAGCCTGGGTGACAGAGCGAGACTCTGTCTCAAAAAAAAAAAAAAAAAAAAACCAAGACTAAGAGGTGTGGTGATCTGGCTAGGAAGGAAGCCACAGTTGGGAGTTGGAGGCTCTAAGTAACAGCAGAGCCCCTTACAGCCTGCGAGATCCATGCTGGATCTTGGTTTGTTTTTCAACAAACGGGTGTTGTTTTCTCAAATTCACTCCAAGAGGAAGCTGTGATTATAAATCAAATGACTTATTCAACGGCTCCAAGCCTGTTAAGAGTGGCCTTGGTCCACGGAAACTTTCTGACACATAATCCAGGGCTTTTTTTTTTTTTTTTTAGACGGAGTTTCGCTCTTGTTGCCTGGGCTGGAGTGCGATGGCACGATCTCGGCTCACCGCAACCTTCGCCTCCCGGGGTTCAAGCGATTCTCCTGCCTCAGCCTCCTGAGTAGCTGGAATTAACAGGCATGCGCCACCACGCCCGGCTAATTTTGTATTTTCAGTAGAGACAGGGTTTCTCCATGTTGGTCAGGCTGGTCTCTAACTCAATCCAGGGCTCTTTTTAACCATACTATTTAAGCCCTGTTGCTGGAAGCCTGTGGTTATAACCTATGCTTAAAAAGAAATAGTGATGAGGATAAAGCAGGGTACCGAACTTGTCAAGAGAAAACACATAAATAAGAAAGAGCAGGCAGAGAGGAGGACAGGAAAAGGTTGTCTTTTTGAAAAAGGACAAAATGATACAAAAATTAGCCAGGCATGGTGGTGCATACCTGTAAGCCCAGCTACTTGGGAGGCTGAGGCAGGAGAATCACTTGAACCTGGGAGGCCGAGGTTGCAATGAGCTGAGATTGTGCCGTTGCACTCCAGCCTGAGTCACAAAAGCAAAACTCTGTCCCCCACCCCCCAAAAAAAAGAAAAGGAAAGAAAGAAAAGAAAAAGGACAAAATGTGTTGCCCTTCAGATTAAAAACCAGTTTAATCCAAGCTGTTCTTCCTCTGAGACTGCATCAGGCTTTCACAGACACTGAGAAAGTTTCCATCGGCCCACCCCCCCGGTTTCTAATTTGGGCACACAGGTGATGTCATGGTAAAATGAATATGTGAAAAGTGCTTTGGGCATCATATGGTCCATGAATAATTAAGGTGAGGATGATGGGATTCTTGTCTGTAGAAAGGAACCCCTTTTTTTCTGCTTCTCTTTCTACAGTCAGTTATTGAGATTAAACTCTAAGTGCAGTGTCTTAGTGCAATGAAAATTAGTTTACATCCTGGAGAGTGAGAATTTATAAGAGTATGTGTTATGGAGAAATAAGCAATTAGTGATTGAACATAATATACACCCTGCCAGTTATTGAGCAACCAAACTATAAGTCTTTGCTGGTTCCCAATTTGTTCAGAACTCTTTATTTATCCCACCTGATCAGTGCCTCCGACTTAGAATTGGGGGGTATTAATTTTGATCTGAAATTCAACCTGGGATGAACAATCTCGCGTCCTTTTGGTCACTCCCTGATTACCATCTCCTCCCATTATATCACACAAACGCAAGAGCCTAGAGCCCAGAATTGAGGAGAGTGATTACTGATAGATTGTACAAGGGCATTGGGAAAGCTGGAGGGTCTGGAAGACCAGCGTGTCCCATGTGCCTACCAAAATAAAATGCACCAGCTGGCACTGGGTTGATGAAAAAGGAAATAGGTTCATATTAATTCTTTTTTTAAATGTCTAGCATTGTCAAAGATACTATTTTACAGAATCATAAATATTCCAGAGCTCAAAATCAAGGGACCGTCTTAGCATTACAGGTAAGGTACAAGTAAAGACGTATGAACTTTGCTTGTACTTGCAGCAGAGCACAAAATACAAGTGTTCGTTACCCTGCAACTAAATCCAGTGAGTTGTAAATTCGAAGAGCAGGCAAATAATTCAAGATGCTTCTATGTCTGCAATGTCTGGAGGGATAGAACTAGGCCAAGAATGAGGTAAGAGTCAAACAAACACCTGATGTAATTGTCTGGATAAATTAGGAGAAAATATGGTAAAAATTACTTGACTAGTTTAGATAAGCATAATTCAGCATTGACATTTTCATTTAATCATTCCTATAGTATTTCATTTGATATGGACAGGGTCTAAAGAGACGTTAAAAGTCAACTAAAAATTAGAGAAATTTTAGTCATTTCAGAAAAGATTGATTTTGTATGCGTTCTGTATTGAAGAAGTGATTTGTTCAAAAGAATTCTGGATAGACGCATGAAAGATAGTTAAGAAAATAGATATTTGGGTTGATTAAATTCTATTTTGGGGGCCCTATAGGCACAACTGGGTGTACCTGAGTCACGCTGTAGAATCTGATTCCAGAAGCAACTGAGAACTGACTCACTGTGTTCTAGAGAATTTTCCCTGTGTCCTTTCTTGTCATCATTTCCTGTGTTCCTGACACCGTGAAATGGGGTTGGCTGCCGTCTCAATGTGTTCGCTTTTAGCTGGGTTAGCGGAAAAATCAACAGGAATAACTCCAGGTTCTAAAGTAGTGATTGTGAAGATAATACCCAAGGCACACCAAGAAGCACTATGGAAAATGTTATTGTATAATAGTAAGTGCAGAATGCAGGATTTAAGCTTGCATCTTCCTGCGTTCTTTTTTTTTTATTAGAGATGGGGCCTGGCTGTGTTGCCTAGGCAGGTCTCAAACTCCTGGCCTCGAGCTCCTCCCGCCTTGGCCTCCCAAAAGTGCTGAGATTACAGGCGTGAGCCACTGCACCCAGCCTCCCCTGTGTTCTTGATAAAATAAGAATGTGTATTTCCTATAGGCAAGAGGTAAATGAAAGTACAGGACGTGGAAACATTGTGTTTAGAAACTATCTACGATATTATGTCGTCTTTGTGATTAAGAAAATGAGCCAGGTGCAGTGGCTCACAGCTGTCATCCTAAAGCTTTGGGACCCTGAGGTAGGAGGATAGCTTGAGGAGTTCAAGACCAGCCTGGGCAACACAGTAAGACCCCCATCTCTACAAAAGAGTAAATTAATTAATTAATTACATTTAATAAAAGTTAGAAGATACATTGGAAAAATTAGGTTTATTGACTGTACCACATTCACAGATACAAATATATATCTCCTACAAATCAGTATTACCTGGAATTTCTCACTAATGTGATCAGGGAAGCAGGGAAATGAAAACTTGAGCATTCAATCAATAAATAGTTGATTGTGCGGTGGCTCGCGCCTGTAATCCCAGCACTTTGGGAGGCCGAGGCGGGTGGATCACCTGAGGTCAGGCGTTTGAAACCAGCCTGCTCAAAAATGGTGAAACCCCGTCTCTACTAAAAATACAAAAATTAGCCAGGCATGGTGGCAGGTGTCTGTAATTCCAGCTACTTGGGAGGCTGAGGCAGGAGAATCGCTTGAACCTGGGAGGCAGAGATTTCAGTGAGCCGAGATCGTGCCATTGCACTCCAGCCTGGGCAACGAGAGCGAAACTCCGTTTCAATAAATAAATAAAATAAAATAAAAAGTTGCTTGTCTACTACATACAGACAATGCTAGGAGCCAGAAACATGAGGAATACATGAGCTCGGCGCCAATGGAACATGCTTTCACACCGGGTGCAGCTAACCACCACATCATACAAAACTCGTCGCTGACGTTTTAGATGTATAATCTGATTGGCATGGACTCACAGAGGAGGGAGTAAGGGAAGAGTAAGAAGATTTCAAAGGAGAGGTAATTGTGTCATTTATTAGAAGTATGAGTGTGGGGTAAGAGATACGTGTGTATGCATGCGTGTGTGTGAACGGACTTCTTGTTTAGTACCATTTTGCTGCTGCTTTACCACCCCAATCTGTTCCTGGACACGGCGATGGACTCTGTATATGTTATCTCATTTTATTCTCACAATTGACCTCTGGTGGTAAAATTATTCTCATTTTTTACAGATTAAAAAAAAAGCCTCCTTTAAAGCATTTGTAAATCTGGACATAAGAGCCTCTCTCCTAAAATTCAAGACTGAGATGCTCTTCTCTCCTTCCTCTAAGCATCAGGGTTCTCTGTCTGCATCCTATGCGGACCAGGGCAAAATAAACTTGAAATTCACTATGTTAGCCTGTATGCAATTTTGGGTGATGATGGGCTATTGGTCGTTTTGTTGTTTTAAAAAAAGAAGTTAGCCTTTATTCATCCGAGTGCCACAGTCACTTTGTGCAGTAAGTTAGGTGGTGAGGTAAGCTTGCTAATTAATGGGCATTTTAAAGGACTTTACCCAGCAGCAGACAAAATTAAGCCCTGGAAAGAATTTAGCCCAGTAGCCAGTCATATGCCATGTCGTATAGCATACCCAGCCAATGGGGAGAGCGAGGTGTGGCTGTGGAAAAAGACAGGGTTAAGCAATTTTTTTAAAGCACTACATATTTATTGATAGAATATCTCTCCAGGCAGTATTCACATGCTTTAAACTGAAGCTCGTAGCTTGGCAGTGCAGTTTAAGCAAATAAACTCAGGCTGTTGAACACAATGATTAACAGGAAGCAGGGGAGGGGACATAGTTACTAGACTCTGGCCGGGACAAGAGGCTGAGGTTAAGGTCTTAGAGCCGATGACTTGCAGAATGGTCACCTCACCCACTTGTAATTTCATGGTGGGAACAGGTGGACCCCCTGGAATCAGAACCTCTCTGAGGACATCTGTTTTTGTGTAGACACAGGTTGCAGGTTAGCAGGAGAACAGGCAAGCCAAATGCAAAGGAGCCACTTCAGAAATGTGTCACAGAAAAGTGAAAATGCAACCTAGTGGTAAGTGAAGAGGGGAAGAAGAAAGAAAAAGGACCAGAACCGTGAACTGAAGGGACAGGGAACAGCCAGACGAGAGCTTCAGCCATCACGAGGATGATTTCGGAACCTGGAGAAAATGTAAGTTAAATATATCTACACTCTGATCCTATCTCAAGAGAGAGATATTTTACTCATTTCCTGGTTGTGAATGATGGGCTCTTGGAAGCACTGTCTTTTTAGCGCGTCTCTTATCTCTGCCCTGATTTTTGTATTTGTTTACAATACTGAGTTATGGGAGAATAAACGTTTTCTGAGGGCAGCTCTGTCCAATGCTTCACTGTTAGCAGAAGCCTGTCATCAGATTTTTGAGGGGAAAGTTTTTTACCCAACAGAAAATGCATTGAAAACTACCCTTGATGAAGCTACCTGCTATGAGTACATGGTTCGAAGCCACTATGTAACAGAAACACTCTCTGAAGAAGAGGCTGGGTTCCCTTTAGCTTACACAGTGACCATCCACAAAGACTTCGGCACTTTTGAGAGGCTCTTCAGGGCGATTTATATGCCCCAAAATGTCTACTGTGTGCACCTGGATCAGAAGGCGACGGATGCCTTTAAAGGTGCAGTGAAACAGTTACTCAGCTGCTTCCCAAATGCTTTTCTGGCTTCCAAGAAGGAGTCGGTTGTCTATGGGGGGATCTCCAGGCTCCAGGCTGACCTGAACTGCCTGGAAGACCTTGTGGCCTCTGAAGTTCCCTGGAAGTATGTCATCAACACCTGCGGGCAAGACTTTCCCCTGAAAACCAACAGGGAAATAGTTCAGTATCTGAAGGGATTTAAAGGGAAAAATATCACCCCCGGAGTGCTGCCTCCTGACCACGCTGTTGGACGGACTAAATACGTCCACCAAGAACTGTTAAACCACAAAAATTCCTACGTGATTAAAACAACAAAATTAAAAACTCCTCCTCCTCATGACATGGTGATTTACTTTGGCACGGCCTACGTGGCTCTCACAAGGGACTTTGCTAACTTCGTCCTCCAAGACCAGCTCGCACTTGACTTACTCTCCTGGTCCAAGGACACCTACAGCCCCGACGAACATTTCTGGGTGACACTCAACAGGATTCCCGGTATGTACGTCTCTTAACTTTTATTTTTACGAATAAACACTGCATGGTCAATACTAAATAAGTTGCTTTGAAAAGAGTGGAAAAAATGGGACAAACTTCTTTACGGTTTTAAATGTCAAATTAAAAAAAAAATTTCATCTGTAAAATGGTAAAATGGAGATGTGTTATATCACCCACTCTTGTGAACCGCTCTGTTCACAGGACAAAAGACCGAAGGAACACTGGCCATATAAATAAAAACGTGACCGAGCACAGTGGCTCAAGCCTGTAATCACAGCACTTTGGGAGGCGGAGGCAGGTGGATCACTTGAGGTCAGGAGTTTGAGAGCAGCCTGACCAACATGGTGAAAACCTGTATCTACTAAAAATACTAAAAAAATTAGCCAGGCGTGGTGGTGCATGCCTGCAATCCCAGCTACTGGAGAGGCTGAGGCAGGAGAATCGCTTGAACCCAAGGGGCGGAGGTTGCAATGAGCCAAGATTGTGCCACTGCACTCCAGCCTGGGTGACAGATCGAGACTCCATCTCTAAATAAATAAATAAATAAAATGTAAACCTTATTCTCCTTTAAGCGCAACGCATTTAAAATCAGGAATATGTATTATAAATAAAATTTGAATGACAATTTGAAGATTTCATAATATTTTTGTCTCTGTTGAAGCTCCCATCCTTTTGAAATGGGAGCAAGATACAACTTTCAAATTTTTTATTTGCAAGCTCTTTTCTGGTCTTGAATCAAAAATCTAAAGCATGGCCAGGCATGGTGGCTCACGCCTGTAATCCCAGCGCTTTGGAAGGCTGAGGCAGGAGGATCTCTTGAAGCCAGGAGTTTGAGACCAGCCTGGGCAACATAGTGAGACACTGTCTCTATTTTTTTTCAAGAAGTTAAAACAAACAAACAAACAAAAAAACCTTATTGCACCTTAAAGATTTCTAGGCTGAGCGCAGTGGCTCACACCTGTAATCCCAGCACTTTGGGAGGCTGAAGTGGGCGGATCACAAGGTCAGGAGTTCGAGACCAGCCTGGCCAACATGGTGAAACCCCGTCTCTACTAAAAATACCAAAAATTAGCCAGGCGTGGTGGCGCATGCCTGTAATCCCAGCTTCTCAGAAGGCTGAGGCAGTAGAATCGCTTGAACCCAGGAGGCGGAGGTTGCAGTGAGCCAAGATCACGTCATCGCACTCCAGCGGAGACTCTGTCTCAAAAAAAAAAAAAAAAAGATTTCTAGACTAGTACCTCCATTTTATAGATGAAGAAACTTCAATGTGATTACATGATGTGCTCAAATCCCACAGCTAGTAAGCAAATGCACCAATTATAAACCAGGTCTCCTAAGCCTGATGTTCTTTTTAGGTTGACTTTCAATAAGGTCTCAATTGTTGCTAAATCAATTCCATCTCTCCTTTGGTCCAAGTTCCAAATGATTTTTGAATAATCTCAAGTTGTTTATAGTGAACCAATTTAGTCCTGCTAGTTCAATTCAAAATAAGAATTCATATTTGCAGTTCAAAGGAAAAAGTAACTGGAACCTGTATGAAGATCACAGTCCTGGTTTCTTTGGATTGCTGGTTCAACCCTGGATGCACATTACGATCATCTGGGGCTTCTAAAAATAACTAAGCCAGGGCCTGTTTCCCTCCTTGGGGCAAGACCTAACTATTGATATTTGTACAGCTTCCAAGTGATTCTCATGTACAGCCAGGGGTGTAAACCATTGCAGGTGCTTGTTTTAGATATTGGCATACAAAGCTTCATAGGCTTAGAATTCTCTTTAAGTCTGTGATTTTCTCAGAGCCAGAAGGGGAAGTATAGTGATCAAAAGAAATTAGGGCTCAGGAAAGTCTGGTGGGGAAAGCACAGAGCTGTTTAAATAGAATTGTAGTGTCCAGAGTAAGGGAAGTGAAAGCCTCACTTCTCTCCCATGTGCTTGGAGTAGGATGTAGACTCTTCAGGTCTGGCCACCCTACTATACGGGGAGACATTGACACAGCAGTTCCAAAGAGAGCAGCCAGGGAGGTAAAAAGGCCAATCCCCACTTTTTTTTTTTTTTTTTTTTAGAGAAGACCAAGACAAAGAAAAAGGATAATTGATTTGGAAAAGACTTGAAGAGGGATCGGTGTCTTTACCTAATTAAAAGATTTGCTCAGGAAAGAGAAATTAGACCAACTCTGTCGTTTTGGAAGTAGAATCTAGGGCCAGCGGGTGGGAGATGAGAACACATGGAGCTGGGAATAAAACGGGCAGCTTCCTCAATGGTGAGCAAAGCCAAGGGAAGCAGGGCTGGGGAAGTGCTGCTGAGGAAACCTCAAGGATTGGACCGGATGGCCTCCGAGTCCCTTCCCACTCTCAGAGTCTGTGATCCTAATCAGGGGACTCAACAGAAACTTAAGGGAAACCCCCTGACTTCTCGACTCGATGTATCTATTGGAGCTGGATTTTTACACCCCGTGTTAGCAGTAACAGATTGGCAAAGCAATAGAAAACAAATGCACCAATTCATGTTTTTCAGAAACTTAACAAAAGTTAGCCCCTGAAGTCATTTCTGTGTTATGTGTGTGGAGGAACACTGCCGGAGGACCCTGACCAGCTCTGCCAACTCTTTTTTTTCTTTTTTTGGATCTCACTCTGTCATCCAGGCTGGAGTGCAGTGGCACAATCACGGCTCACGGCCTCAACCTCCCAAAGTGCTGGGATTACAGGTGTGAGCCACACAGCACCCAGCCCGTGCTGGTCTTGACCTCCCAGGCTCAAGCCTTCCAAGAGGCTGGGACTACAGGCATGTGCCCCCATGCCTGGCTAACTTTAACTTTTGTAGAGACGAGGTCCTGCTGTGTTGCCAGTGCTGGTCTTGAACTCCTGGGCCCAAGCGATCCTCCTGCCTCAGCCTCGTGAGCCACCACATCGGGCAAGCCCTGCCAACTCTTTCCTGACCTGAGGCAGGGCTGAATGTAGGAGGTTAGGGAATTAGAAACCTAAGGGTTGTCTTGTTTAATTATTATTCCGGCTATGTGGAGATCTGAGCCATTTTCCGTTGTAAGGGTCCTTCTGGTTGATGTGTATATGTTGTGGTTTTTGCTTTTTTTTTTTTTTTTTTTTGGCAGGTGTGCGAGGGACATTTTGAGATTGTTCCAATTCATTGTCATGATTGAGGGATTATGATTAGGATTCTGTAAAGTAACTAGTCCAGGCCAGGTGTGGTGGCTCACGCCTGTAATCCCAGCACTTTGGGAGGCTGAGCTGGGTGGATCGCCTGAAGTCAGGAGTTCAAGACCAGCCTGGCCAACATGGTGAAACCTATCTCTACTAAAAATACAAAAATTAGCCGGGTGTGGTGGCACGTGCCTGTAATCCCAGCTACTCGGGAGGCTGAAGCAGGAGAATCACTTCAGCCTGGGAGGCGGAGGTTGCAGTGAGCCAAGATCCTGCCACTGCACTCGCGTCTGGGCGACAGAGTGAGACTCCATCTCAGAAATAAAAATTTAAAAAAAAATTAGTCCAGAAAAACATCTCACAGCTGAAGTGGTCTCATGGGAAGGGAGAACAGCACTGCCCAATAGGAATGCTATAATGGGAGCCATAGATCTAAAATCAAATTTTAGATTTTCCAGGAGCCACATTAAAAGAAGTAAAAAGAAGCAGATAATATGAATTTAAAGAATGTATTTTATGCCAGGTGTGGTGGCTCTCGCCTGTAATCCCAGCACTTTGGGGAGCCGAGGTGGGCGGATCACTTGAGGTCAGGAGTTTGAGACCAGCCTGGCCAACATGGTGAAACCCCAACTCTACTAAAAATACAAAAAACTAGCCAGGCGTGGTAGCTTGTGCCTGTAACCCCAGCTACTCGGGAGACTGAAGCAGGAGAATCGCTTCAGCGATTTAGGAGAACCAGGAGGCAGAGGTTGTGGTGAGTTGAGATCATGCCACTGTACTCCAGCCTGGGTGACAGAGCAAGACTCTGTCTCAAAAAAAAAAAAAAAAAAAAAAAAAAGAATGTATTTTATTTAACTCAGTTTGAAACATCACTTTTACTTGTGGCCTGTGGCTGCGACCACAGGCAGGGGAGGTGGACCACGCATCCTCATTGCTGGTGCAGTGGTCAGGCTCTGCCGCCCTAGCAGCACCGAGACGTTGGCCGTCCTCATGTCGCAGAGTCTCCACCTCTGCTGGTTTTGCTTTGCCTGCTTCTACTTTATTTGAAATTCTTGCCTGTGCTTCAGCACTTCCCCTGGTTTATGGGCTCCTCCACCCTGTGGGTTCTACTTCCTATGTCTTCCCCTGGTATCTGCCAGATTCCATGCTGCTCTTTTTTTTTTTTTTTTTTAAGATGGAGTCTCGCTCTGTCACCCAGGCTGGAGTGCAGTGATGTCATCTTGGCTCACTGCAACCTCCTCCTCCTGGGTTCAAGCAATTCTCCTGTCTCAGCCTCCGCAGCACCAGGGATTACAGGTGCATGACACCACGCTTGGCTAATTTTTGCATTTTTAGTAGAGACGGGGTTTCACCATGTTGGCCAGGCTAGTCTTCTGACCTCAGGTGATCCACCTGCCTTGGCCTCCCAAAATGCTGGGATTACAGGCGTGAGCCACTGTGCCTGGCCCATGCTGCTCTCTTGACAGCAAGTGCTCTCTGTGTCCCATTCAGATGTCCCCAGAGAGTCCTGCCTTGGGTCATGCAGCCATTGTATTAAACAATGAGGATCCCCGTTCTCATTCCACACCACCTCTCAGGCTGCGGCTGACGTCTTTGCAGGCAGCTGCCCTTTATGTAGCCCCAAGTTGTCCAATCAGCTGTGACCAGGGTGGCAGGGTCATGTGGTTTAAAAAAGCAAAGCTTGGGTAACACAGATACCTTGTCTCTACAAAAAAAAATCAAAAAATAGTCAGGCGTGGTGGCATGCACTGTAGTCTCAGCTGCTGGAGAAGTTGAGGCAGGAGGATCACTTGAGCCCAGGAGGTCAAGGGCACAGTGAGCTGCAATAGCACCACTACCCTCAGACTGGGCAACAGAGTGAGACTCTGTCTCAAAAAATGGATAAATAAATAAGCAAGCAAAACAAAACATGGGTCCGGGCACAGTGGCTCACGCCTGTAATCCCAGCTCTTTGGGAAGCTGAGGTGGGCGGATCACCTGAGGTCAGAAGTTTGAGGCTAGCCTGGCCAACATGATGAAACCCCGTTTCTACTAAAAATGCAAAAATTAACCGGGTGTGGTGGTGCATGCCTGTAACCCCAGCTACTCAGGAGGCTGAGGCAGGAGAATCGCTTGAACCTGGGAGGCGGAGGTTGCAATGAGCCGAGATCGCGCCACTGCACTTCAGCCTGGGTGACAGAGCGAGACTCCATCTCAAAAACAAAAACAGACAAAAACATGGTCCATCCAGCAGGTCCTCTGGAGGCCTCTCAGAGGATAAGACTCTCTGCATGGCCTGCTCAGGTGAAGGTGCCCATGAGGAGAACAGTGTTACAGAAAGGGGGTTCACATATGGCTTTAAAGATGTCCAAGAAGCCTCACTAGCTGTTATGAAATTAGGGCTTCCTGCCCTCCCTTTTTCCTCTCCCCACTTCCGTCTTTTACCCTTAATCTGGTCCACAACAAGATGGCATGCCTTTTAGTTTCTTGTGTGATTCAGCTGTGGATGATTTCCATTTATAAGCCCAAGATGCAAGTTCATCCACCTCCCACTTTCCTCCTGAGTTATTATTGATCCTCTGGGTTGGATGGCTCTGCCTGTAATAGGGACATTCAGTGAGTTTATTCCATTGGTCATGTGTGCCTTGAATTTTACACATTTCAAAACTGACCAGTGATTTCTGTTTCACTTGCTACAAAGGAGTATTTTGAATATAACTCCATGGGAGTTTGTTTCAAACTCACATTAAAATAGGAATGAATGCAAAAACAGCCTTTCCTGGGAGCAGGCTTTGTGGGCGGTGGGAGGAAGGAGTGCCAAGGTGTCCAAAGGGGAAGGAATAGAGAAAGGAAGATACCTGGTGGGTGATTGAGGGCCCGAAAGACAGACCCTCCCTGCTTCCAATTTGTTTTTCCCCTGGAGCCAGCCTGCGGACTAGCCCTATTGGATATTCCATGGCAGGCATCTTCCCCTGAACCCTAAATGTGGGTGGCTCATTGTATTTCTATTTCCTGTAGAGTCCATACTGGCCTTACTCTTTGTCACTGTTTGAGGCTGATATATCCCGTTAGTTCCTCTATATGTAAAAATGCAATGCTGAGGTTCCAGGTGCCGAGACCTTGAGAGATGCAAATTTGGGAGCAGAGAAGGGCAGATCCGAATCAAGGTGGTCTTGGGAACTCATCCTTGAGCCCCAGGGATGTGGCTGGGATCTTACTGTGTGCAGAGGGAATTGATATTCCCCAAACCAATCGAGCACACAGAGCTTCTGAGATGCTAGGCGAATGGACAGACTTGAAGGGGAGGAAGATTTGGGGATTTTTACTATTAGCTCCGCTTAAGCAATCTCTGTTTTTTTATATCTGCCAGAAATATCGGTTTTTGTCAACTTCTTCTTTTTTTTTTTTGAGACAGTCTTGCTCTGTTGCCCAGGCTGGAGTGCAGTGGCGTGATCTCAGCTCACTGCAAGTTCTCCTCCCGGGTTCACGCCATTCTCCTGCCTCAGCCTCCCGAGTAGCTGGGACTACAGGCGCCCACCACTGTGCCCGGCTAATTTTTTGTATATTTAGTAGAGACGGGGTTTCACCATGTTGGCCAGGATGGTGTTGATCTCTTGACCTCGTGATCCACCCACCTCAGCCTCCAAAAGTGTTGGGATTATAGGCGTGAGCTACCGTGCCCGGTCTCTTGTCAACTTCTAGAAAAGGAAATCAGAGAGTTGGGACACCTGTGAGTTCCTTTTTTTTTTTTTTTGAGATGGAGTCTCACTCTGTCACCCAGGCTGGAGTACAGTGGCGCAATCTCGGCTCACTGCAACCTCCGTTTCCTGGGTTCAAGTAATTCTCCTGCCTCAGCCTCCCGAGTACCTGGGACTACAACCTCTGCTTCCCGGGTTCAGGCGATTCTACTACCTCAGCCTCCTGAGTAGCTGGGACTACAGGCGCCCGCCACCACGCCTGGCTAATTTTTGCCTCTTTAGTAGAGATGGGGTTTCACCATGTTGGCCAGGCTGGTCTCGAACTCCTGACCTGGTGGTCTGCCCACCTCAGCTTCCCAAAGTGCTGGGATTACAGGTGTGAGCCACCACTCTCGGCCACCTGTGAGTTCTTCTCAGGGAAACAGTTTCTTAGGAAGGTGGTAAATGGCCTGACAGACTTCATTTTTTAAATAGGTAGATTATCAAGAAAACAATGGCATTAATCACTTCCCTAGAAGAAGAAAGGAAGAGTTTAATCTGCAAGTGATCTTATCTTTGCTAACCATTGTCTTCCCTCTTCACTGATCACTGAGTTTGTTCTTCGGGCATTCTGTGGCTCACACTCTATCCTTACTTTCTTCTTCCTCCTTCCCAGCTAAGTTAGACTACAGATGCTCTTCGACTTACAGCGGGGTTACATCCCAAGAAACTCATCGCAAGTGGAAAATACCATAAATCAAAAATGCATTTAATGGCCACGTGGGGTGGCTAACGCCTGTAATCCCAGCACTTTGGGAGGCCGAGGCAGGTGGATCACTAGAGGTCAGAAGTTTGAGACCATCCTGGCCAACATGGTGAAACCCTGTCTCTACTAAAAATACAAAAATTAGCCGGGCGTGGTGGCGGGCACCTGTAATCCCAGCTATTTGGGAGGCTGAAGCAGGGGAATCGCTTAAACCCGGGAGGCGGAGGTTGCAGTGAGCCGAGATTGTGCCACTGCACTCCAACCTGGGCAAGAGGGAGATTCTGCCGCAAAAAAAAAAAAAAAAAAAAAAAAAAAACAAAACAAAGAAAACGAAAGAAAATGCATTTAATGTACCTAATCTACCAAATATCCTAGCTTAGCCTAGCCTCCCTTAAACATGCTCAGAACACTTACATTGTTAGCCTACCGATGGGCAAAATCATCTTACACAAAGCCTATTTTATAATAAAGTGGTGTCTATGTCATGTGATTTCTTGAATACAGTGCACTATAGAGTACAGTCTCAGTTGTTTACCCTCATGATCTCATAGCTGACCGGGAGCTGGGGTGGCCTGCCACTGCTAGCATCATGAGAGAGTATCCTACCGCACCTCGTTAGCCTGGGAAAAGACCAACATTCAAAAGTCAAAATATGGTTTCTACTTAAATGCTCATGGCTTTCACACATCATAAGGTAAAAAAAATTATAAGTTGAGGCCAGGCGCAGTGGCTCACGCATGTAATCCTAGCACTTTGGGCAGCTGAGGTGGGCAGATCACCTGAGGTCAGCAGTTCGAGACCAGCCTGGCCAACGTGATGAAACCCCGTCTCTACTAAAAAGGCAAAAATTAGCCAGGCATGGTGGTGCACGCCTGTAATCCCAGCTACTCGGGAGGCTGAGGCAGGAGAATCGCTTGAACCTGGGATGCAGAGGTTGCAGTGAGCTGAGATCGCACCATTGCACTCTGGCCTGGGCGACAAGAGTGAGACTCCGTCTCAAAAAAAAAAAAAAAAAAAAAAAAAAAAAATATATATATATATATATATGTTGAACTCTCATAAGTCAGGGACCGTCTGTATTCTTTCCTGAATTTATACCCATGACACCTTAAATATAAACCCTGATAGATCTCATGGCATCTATGTTTTGTTATGGAATAACAGGCTTAGTTGCTGAAAGTCATAAAGTGACACAGCACAACTGAGGACTGCTAATGATTTTGACTTTTTTTTGAGTTTATAAAAAGATTGTAATTTCCCCAGATCAGAAATTGCCCCAATATGTAGTTTAATTGATTTGTATGCATTTTATGTATCCATATATATTACCATCAAAAATGGCTTACATAATAATGATAATGTATATAAATAGTTTTGCTTTGCCAATTATACCATCTTCTGGGATCTCAGAGGAATAACCAGAGACATGACCCTGTTTTAATATTCTGTTGCTCCTTTAGGTAGCAATTTCCTTTTTAAAACCAAAAAATAATGTTTCTTCCTATGGGGACCTATCTTAATTTTATACTGAGGAAGCTAAAAGTAGTTTGATGAGAAAGAAAAAAATAAGGGTTGGGCCCAGCTGGAGTATAGTCAGATGACATCAATTAGAATGCATTTAAGATTTAAGTGGACTGGTGAATGGTTTGGAAAAATAGTCTAAAGATTTGTTTACTCTCTATTAGAGTTGGAGAGTAGCTCACACTCACTGGTGGGGTTTAGAAACAAACAGGCCTGAGTTTAAAGCCTATCTCTACAGCTCACCGTCTCTTTTTTTTTTTTTTTTTTTTTTTTTTGAGGCAGAGTTTCACCCTTGTTGCCCAGGCTGGAGTGCAGTGGTGCGATCTCGGCCCACTGCAACCTCTGCCTCCTGGGTTCAAGCGATTCCCCTGCCTCAGCCTCCCGAGTTGCTGGGATTACAGGTATGCACTACCACGCCTGGCAAATTTTGTATTTTTAGTAGAGACGGGGTTTCTCCATGTTGGTCAGGCTGGTCTCGAACTCCTGACCTCAGGCGATCCGCCCACCTCAGCCTCCCAAAGTGCTGGAATTACAGACGTGAGCCACTGCGCCCGGCCCCGCCATCTCTTTAACTTTGGGCAAATGCCTCATTTCACTGAGCCTGATTCTTCATCTATATCCTGGGGATAAAATATCTCTTTGTAGGACTGTTGAAGGATTAGAGAGTACACAAACTATACCTGGCACATCATAGAAACTCATTAAATGGAGAGAGAGAGAGAAAACAGATGAACTTCTCAGGTGTTGATTTTTGAGGTTTTAATGTTACGATTCTAAAAATTCTATGTGCAACTAAAACAAAAAACAAAACCTTCTAACATTTGGTTTTGAAAGCATAAGGTCTAATTTTTGGTTAGAAATCAGGTATGTGAGGCCGGGCATGATGGCTCATGCCTGTAATCCCAACACTGGGAGGCCAAGGCAGGAGGATCAGAGGATTGCTTGAGACCAGCCTAGGCAACATAGTGAAATTCCATCTCTACAAAAAATACAAAAGTTAACCGGGCTTGGAGGCGCGTGCCGGTAGTCCCAGCTACTTGGGAGGCTGAAGCAGGAGGATCGCTTGAGCACGGGAGGTCGGGGCTACAGTGAGGGGTGGTCGTGACATTGCACTCCAGTCTTGGTGACAGAGTGAGACCCCATCTCAAAAAAAAAGGAAGGAAAGGAAGGAAGGAAAAGGAAGAAAGTAAAGGATGGAAGGAAGGAAGGAAGAGAGGGAGAGAGGAAGGGAGGAATAAATTAGGTATGTGGCTGAAGAGGTTCCCTAGGGTATAGTTCTTCTTAGCAATGTCACCTGTCTGTAGTCTTGTACCAGGAAGTAGCATTCTGTGACTAAAGCCTCCTACCTCTCCAGGCTTCTCACTTTAGACTTGTCTGAAGCCAAATGGCCTCCACAACCTGTTCATGCTGTCTTTTTGTTCTGGAATACTCTTTATCTTTGCTGCTCATTCTCCTCTGTTCAAGATCCAGTTGAAAAGTCACGGCCTCAGCTGCTTTACACTCCTGCAGAAGCAGCTCCCCTGCCCCACCTTATCCACACTTCTCTTGCAGCACCTCTTCCATTGCATCTTAACAATTTGTGTAGATCTCAGTTCCCTCTATGCCCGGGCCCTGCCCACCCCCAACCACCAGCACACCAAATGTGAGCAGGCAACCTAATGATTGGCCCAGGACCTAGACTTTTATCCAGCTTCATCACTGAGTGGGCTTCCAATATCACTTTGCATGAGGAACGGAGAAATGGAAGAGAAATCGTCTGCATGTCTAATAAGATGTTCTCTACAAGTGGAGAAAATTCCCCTTCAGCATTACAGGAAGTTTATTTTCTGATTTTTCAATTCTAGCTCAGCTTTTAAGCAGTCCACAGGGTGGGATTCCTAAATCTAAACCCCAACTCCCCCATCACTTCCACCAACTTTTTCAAAGGACAAACATCCTTTGCTGCCACCTGTGCTAAATCCATTAGAAAACACTCTTGGGAGTGTGGTCTGCCTTTGGGAGTTCTTAGTCATCTGATTGCTAGGGTCAGTATCAATTACCCTCCATCCGTTTTGAGGACTGAATTTGTATATTGTTTTTGTTTTCTTTCTATTTTAAGTTCGGGTACGTGTGCAGGATGTGCAGGTTTGTTACATAGGTAAACGTGTGCCACAGTGGTTTACCCGCACAGATCATCCCATCACCTACGTATTAAGCCCAGCGTCTCTATTAGCTCTTCTTCCTGATGCTTTCCCTCTGCCAACGCCCCCCACCAGCCCCAGTATGTGTTGTTCCCTTGCATGTGTCCATAAGTTCTCATCAATCAGCTCCCACGTATGAGAACATGCGGTGTTTGGGTATTCTGTCTCTGCGTTACTTTGCTGAGAATAATGTCTTCCAACTCTATCCATGTCCCTGCAAAGGACATGATCTCGTTCCTTTTTATGGCTGCATAATATTCTATGGCGTATATATACGACATTTTCTTTATCCAGTCTATCACTGATGGGCATTTAGGTTGATTTCATGTCTTTGCTATTGTGAATAGTGCTGCAGTGAACATACGCGTGCATGTATCTTTATGACAGAATGATTTATATTCCTTTGGATCTATGGGATCGCTGGGTCAAATTCCTATACGTTTTAGTTCAGGTCTAGAAAAGTAAAATCATTAATTAAGGGAAGTTAGCAGAGTTATTTTGGCCCTGAGAGGCTGTGATTTAAAATATTCAGAAAATGTAGTTGAAGTAGTTGATTTGGCTTCAACTTGAATTCCCTATGTAATTGCAGGGAATTCAAGGGACTCTGAATTCAATTCAGGGAATTCAAACAGACCTCTTTGCCTTTGAGCTAGTTTTCCCCCTAGGCTTTTCTTAGCCTGCAAAAATCCTGGTTATCTTTGAGGACCCAGTTGAGTTGGTCTTGCTCCTAAATCATTGACAAGCCCCTACCCTCAGGCAGAGCAGTTTGTCCTTTGTGCTCCAAATACTTTTTGTTGTCACTGTAGTTAGGGTTTGCGGTTTAATCATCTATTGCTGCTGCCAGAAAGCAGAATCTTGGAGGGTAGGGAGCTTTATATCTTTGCGAGCCTCAACCAACACAAAGCTTGGCGTCAGATTGAATTCAAATTCACCTTACGTTGCTAGTATGAAACCAATTGTGTTGTTGCTTTCATACAAATCCAGCAGTTTTCTGCTAATGAGACCTGCAATGTAAAATTTAAAAAGAAAAAAGAAAAAATATCCAACAGGTTTCTACCGTCCAAGTCACTGATAGAATCTACAACAGATCGACAGAGTTACAGCTGTTTCCTGCCCCAGTTTTAGGCACCATAAAGATTTTCTAGAAGGCTTGCCAATCATCATCATCCTGTAAGTTCTTACACTGCTACGCACTAAACTAATTGCCTTTCCCCCTCTTAAAGGTAACAGGTTTATTGAGGTATAATTTACATAGGGTGAAATTTATGACATATAATTTACATACCATAAAACTCACCCACTTTTGTGTACAATGTAATGATTTTTAGTGCCTTTACAGTTATGCAACCATGATCCCCGGCTAATGTAGAATCATTTTATTACTACACAAAGAAACCTCATGACCACTTCCCATTTCCACACCCAACCCCTGCTTTTCTGGCTCTATGGATTTGCCTTTTCTGGACATTTCATATTAACCAAATCATACTATATGTGTTCTTTCATGCGTAGCTCCTTTTACTTATTGCCATGTTTTTAAGGTTCATCCGTGTTATCGCGTGAATCAGTACTTCACTTTTTATAGGAATGGATGCTGTTCCATTATATGGATACACCACGTTTATTTTTTCATCCATTGATGGACATTTGGGTTGCTTCTACTTTTGGCTTGTGTGAAGAATGTTGCTATGAACATTCCTGAACAAGTCACTATGGGGACACATGTTTTCATTTCTCCTGGGTAGATACCAAGAGTGAAACTGCTGGTCCCTATGTTAATTCTTTTTTTTTTTTTTTTTTTTTTTTTAATTTTGAGACGGAGTTTCACTCTTGTTGCCCAGGCTGGAGTGCAATGCCATGATCTCGGCTCACTGCAACCTCCACCTCCCGGGTTCAAGCGATTCTCCTACCTCAGCCTCCCAAGTAGCTGGGATTACAGGCATGCGCCACCACACCCGGCTAATTTTTATATTTTTAGTAGAGACGGGGTTTCACCATGTTGGCTAGGCTGGTCTCAAACGCCTGACCTCAAGTAATCCACCAGCCTCGGCCTCCCAAAGTGCTAGGATTACAGGAGTGAGCCACCACGCCCGGCCCTTTTTTTTAAATTGAGACAGAGTCTCGCTCTGTCGCCCAGGCTGAAGTTCGGTGGCTCCATCTCAGCTCACTGCAACCTCTGCAATTCTCGTGCCTCAGCCTCCCAAGTAGCTGGGACTACGGGAGCACACCACCACACCCAGCTAACTTGTTTGTATTTTTAGTAGAGACAGGGTTTCACCATGTTGTTCAGGTTGGTCTCAAACTCCTTACCTCAAATGATCCACCTGCCTCGGCCTCCCAAAGTTCTGGGATTACAGGCGTGAACCACTGTACCTAGCCCCCAATGTTAATTCTATGTTTAACATTTTGAGGACCTGCCAAACTGGTTTCCAATGGATTGCAACATCTTGCATGCCCACCATCAGTGTATGAGGGTTCCAATTTTTTCATATCCTTGTTATTGTCTATCTTTTTTAGTTTAGCCCTTCTAGTGAGTGTGAAGTGGTATCCTCTTATAGTTCTGATTAGCATGTCCCTAATTAACAATGATGTTGGGCATCATGTACTTGTTGGCCTTTGATATATCTTCTTAGAAGAGGACTAAGTGCCCTTTGGACGTTATTTCTTTGAATTAAGATTGTTGCAATCACTGAGGACACTGAGATATGGAGTCTGTATTACTTGCCCAAGGACGCCCAGCTAGTAAGTGTCAGTGTCAAGATGATTACATTTGAATTTAAAATGGAGTCGATTAGGAGATGAAATTGTCTGACATTGAATTAAGGACACACTATATGGACAAAATGTTAGTTTAGGTCTGTAACTCCTAAATCCTGTGACCAAGAAAATAGCTAAGACTCATTTAAAAAATAAATAAATGGGCCAGGCCTGGTGGCTCACGCCTGTAATCCCAGAACTTTGGGAGGCCGAGATGGGCGGATCACCTGAGATCAGGAGTTCGAGACCAGCCTGGCCAATATGGCGAAACCCCGTCTCTAGTAAAAATACAAAAATTAGCCGGGCGTGGTGGTGTGCGCCTGTAATCCCAGCTACTTGGGAGGCTGAGACAGGAGAATTGCATGAACCCAGGAGGCGGAGGTTGCAGTGAGCCGAGATCACATCACTGCATTCCAGCCTGGGCGACAGCAAGACTCTGTCTCAAAAAGTAAAATAGGCAACACGGTGGCTCACGCCTGTAATCCCAGCACTTTGGGAGGCTGAGGCAGGTGGATCACGAGGTCAGGAGTTCAAGACCAGTCTGGCTAACTTGGTGAAACCCCATCTCTACTAAAAACGCAAAAAAATTAGCAGGGCGTGGTGGCAGGTGCCTATAATCCCAGCTACTCGGGAGGCTGAGGCAGAGAATTGCTTGAACCCAGGAGGCGGAGGTTGCAGTGAGCCGAGATCACCACACTGCACTCCAGCCTGGGTGACAGAGCAAGACTCCATCTCAAAAATAAATACATAAAATAAAATAAAATATTAAATAAATAAATAAATAAATAAATGGGGCCGGGCATGATGGCTCATGCCTGTAATAGCAGCATTTTGGGATGTGGAGGTGGGCAGATCACCTGAGATCAGGAGTTCGAGACCAGCCTGGCCAACGTGGTGAAACCCCATCTCCACTAAAAATACAAAAAATTAGCTGGGCGTGGTGGCAGGCACCTGTAATCTGAGCTACTCGGGAGGCTGAGGCAGGAGAATCACTGGAAACCGGGAGGCAGAGGTTGCAGTGAGCTGAGATTGTGCCACTGCACCCCAGCCTTGGCAACAGAGCAAAAACTCTGTCTCAAATAAATAAATAAATAAATAAATAAATAAATAAATGAGGTGGTCAGAGAGCTGCTGGGAAAATAAATAAAGCAATTTAATTTAATCCTAATATGTAGTTACTATGATTAGATTCCTTTTCTGCGATTTTATGTAAACCATCATTCCTCTTTTTAAGAATCAAGTGGGTACAGCCCCCCAGCCCCCTCCTTTCTAATAAAACTGTATCTTCTCTTTCTAGTCTATATCCTTTTCCTCCCAGCTCTTGCACGGTGAGCTGAAGGGTTCGTGCTGAAGTCCTAGTTGGTGCCTTTGCTTTTACTTTTTTGGCTTTTTCCATTTTGCAAGAGCTGTGCCTTGGCTGTGATCTCCATTTTTGTGGGTGCTCATTGGTCTGCGCTATCGACATTTGACCACCTAGAAACTTTGGAGTTTTGTTTAAATCCACATCAAGCCAGCTCAAACTTCCTTAGTGATTTTTGCTGCTTTAAATACTACCTTTTGTGTTCCTGAGCTTGACAAACTTAGGACAGTTTCTGACAGGGTTTCATGTTCTTTTGTTTTTACCTCGAAGGATTCATAACTGTGTCTCTTTCTAGTATTCTCCTTATTAGGAATAAAGCGAACTTCAAATTCCTATGATCGTTGCAATCCTAACCTCCTTCGTGCCTTGTGAAAAATCATAACAGTTTTCATGAAGGGTAAATCAGTCACCCTTGTAGAATTTTCCATTCAAATCCTGAGCCATGTGAAGCTGTTTTTAGCTGCTTTCCTGAGTTTAGTCCTGGTCTGGGAGACTCAAGTGTCTTCAGCTTTGTGAATCAGGCAAAAGCCAGCAGTGGAGGAGGGTGTAAGACTTCCTTGCTTTTCAGCTCCCAGGCAATACAAGGGATGGTTAAGATGGCAGGGTAAATGAAATTAAAGAAAAGGCAAGGTTAAGAAATAAAATCAGTTACAATGGATAGGTCACTGTTGACAAGATGTGGGGCCTGAAAGTAGAAACCTGGAGTTGTTCCAAAGGTTGCAGGGTCTAGTTCCAAGGGCAGCTAGAAATGACTTGATCTTTTCCCCATGTGTAATATTTTCCCGATGTGTGTTTTTAGCTTCTTAAACTGATTCCTGTAACGGCAGCCTCTTTTGCTGTTCTTTATGCCTCACTGCTGAGCTTCCCTGCCATGTCTGTGCATGCTGACTTGCTGGGAATGGGTTACAGATGGGCTACACGTTGATCTCAGCAGCATATACGGCAGGCAAAACCCAGGACAGTTGAAGCCGTTTGGCCAGATACCTCTGGCTGAGAGCAGCTTTGTCCATTTTATCTACAGGTTTCAGACAAATGCAGTTGACCAGTGCCAACAATGTGGCGGTTAGGCCCACTGAACCCCTGTGTAGCCAAAAACCTATGTATAGCTTTTGACTCCCCTAAAACTCAACTACTAAAAACCTACTGTTGTCCAGGCACGGTGGCTGATGACTGTAATCCCAGCACTTTGGGAAGCCGAGGTGGGCGGATCATGAGGTCAGGAGTTCGAGACCAGCCTGGCCAATATGGTGAAACCCTGTCTCTACTAAAAATACAAAAAAATTAGCCAGGCGTGGTGGCAGGTGCTTGTAATCCCAGCTACTCAGGAGGCTGAGGCAGGATAATTGCTTGAACCCAGGGGGCGGAGGTTGCAGTGAGCCAAGATCTCGCCATTGTACTCTAGCCTGGGTGACAGGGTGAGACTCCGTTTAAAAGAAAAGAAAAGAAAATATTACTCTTTGAAGATCTATAAAATATTTAAAGATCTCAGTGAGTTTTCAACCTTTTATTTTATTTATTATATTTTAAAGCTGATTTTTATGAAAGCAGTATATCCTTATTTTAAAAATGTAAACAGTACACAAAAGATTAAGAAAAATAAAACATGTCCATACTTCTTCATCCTTCTCTGTATTACATCTTTTTCCAGAGATAACATTAATAATATGTTGGTAATCTATGGCACACCCATCTGTATATAAAAATATACTTTATGGAATCATTACACTTTTTTTCTTTTATGGTTCATGATTTTATGTCCTACCTTAAGAAATTATTGCCATCCTGAGATCACAAAGATTTCCTTTGACCTTTTATTTTAAACTAGTTCAAACTTACTATACTTAACAAGAATAGTATAAAGAGCTCCCGTATACCTTTTATCCATATTTCCCAACCCATAATATTTTGTACACTTGCCTAATCATATCTGCTCTCTCTCTTATTCATATATTTTTCTTAAACTATTTGCAAGTTATCCCTTAATATTTCAAAGCATATTTCCTAGCAACAAAGACACCCACCCCCATGTAACCACAGTACAACTATCAAGTGATAAGTAGCATTACTATTTAATCCACAGACCCTATTCCAGTGTGCATGGTTATACTCATTATGTCCTTCATGAATCTGGGATCTGATCAAGAATCTTAAGCTAAACTTTGGCCATCATATCTCTTTAGTCCCCTCCAGTTTGGAACAATTTCTCAGTCTGTCTTTGTCTTCCAAGATCTCATTTTTGAAGAGTGCAGCTCTGATGATTTCTCATGATTAAATTTAGGTTATACCTTTTGGGCAAAGATATGGTGGAAATAATGCTGTAGAGCCTTATAATGATGATGACTTTTTATCACTTGGCTAAGATAGTGCCTGCCACATTTCTCCAGTGAAAAGCTAGGAAGTGTTTTTATTTATTACTAAGTAGATATCCTGTTTATCAAACAATCACTCTCCAGTTTTGCCATTCATTGGATCTTGCCTGACTCAGTTTTTACTGTGATCGTTACCAAATCATGAATTTTAAATAAAATTCATCCTTCTTCTGTGTTTATTAGTTGACATTCAACTATTAGGTAGAGCCATCCCTTCTCCTGTGTGTTGGCTTATTTATTTATATCTCTGGGGACTTAGATTTATATTTATTCAATGGGTTATAATCCATTATTCTTTTTACTTACTTTACTGCTCAAATTGTCCCAGACTTGGCCAGTGAAAGCCTGTTCAAGCTGGCTTGTGTGTTCTTTCAACAAGTCCCAGTGATTCTTTTTGGCACAGGAGATGTTCCAAGCTAATCCTGCACTTAACCTGCCCCAGTCTTGCAATCAGCCATTCTTTCCAAGAAGGAAGCCCTGGTTCTACTGAATAGAGAATGGTATTTAAAGATCAAAATCTGGGAAGCTGAAACAGGAGGATCACTTGAGCCTAGGAGTTTGAGGCTGCAGTTAGCTAAGATCTTGCCACTGCACTCCATGCACTCCAGCCTGGGCAACAGAATGAGACCCTATCTCTAAAAAAGTTAAAAATAAATAAATGAAAGTGAACACCACAGTTCTCCTTAGGTCAAAGGATTTTTCTGTGAAGCAGATCTGGGCACTGACACCAAGATATTCCTGGGCCTCCCAGAAAGGGCACCACAAAAGGCTGCTGCAACAAGAGCAAGAGCTTGGGAACAAAGCCGTTCACATTCAGGTCTTGGGTCAGCCATTGCTACCTGAGTGATTAGGGGCAAACACCAGTGACCTTCTGAGTGTAGCACCTAATGCCAGCTATCAGCGTCATCACTCATACTTTCCTGGTACCCTCTTATTACCATCCACTCCACTTGCCAGGGCAGCCCCCTCCCACTCCTGGTATAATCTAGATATATAAAATCTTGTTTTTGTACTTCATATAAGTGGAAATATACAGCATATGTTATTTTTTCTATCTGGCTTGCTTTTGTTCAACATTATGTTTGTGAGATTCACCGTTTTGTTGCAGGCAGTTGTATTTCATTCATTCTCATTGTTGCATAGAGAGAAGAACCCATATTTGGAGACCTTTTTTTTTTTTTGAGACGAAGTCTCGCTGTCACCCAGACTGGAGTGCAATGGCGTGATCTCAGTTCACTTGCAACCTCCACCTCCTGGGTTCAAGCAGTTCTCTGCCTCAGCCTCCCAAGTAGCTCGGATTACAGGCGCATGCCACCACACCCGGCTAATTTTTGTATTTTTAGGAGAGACGGGGTTTCACCACGTTGGACAGGCTGGTCTTGAACTCCTGACCTCGTGATCCACACGCCTTGGCCTTCTAAAGTGCTGGGATTGCAGGAGTGTGCCACCGCGCCCAGCGTGAAGACATTTTTGGTTGTCAGAGGTTGAGGGAGGGAAGCAAAAGGTGCTACTGGCATTAGTGGGTAGAGGCCAGGGGTGCCCCTCAGCATCCTACAATGCACAGGGCAGCACATCCTACAACACACAGCCCTCACAACACGGCATTTTTCAGCCCAAAATGCCAATAGTGCCCACGCTGAGAAACCCTGCTCTATAGTAACTGTTGGTGGGCATTTGAGTAGTCCCCAGTTTGGCTCTATTATGAATATGGCTGCAGCGAATCTTGACTTAGATATCTTTTGATGAATATATTTCATTTCTGTTGAGTAAATACTGGAGAATGGAATTTTGGGTCATAGGATATAGGTATGCTCAACTTTAGTAGACATTGTATTGTTGGTTTTTCAAAGTTGTCATACCAATTCACACTTCTCCATCAGGGCATGAGGGTTGCTGTTGCTCCATATCTTCACGAATTGAATTGGTATTTTCTGCCTTACTTCCTTTCTCTCTCAATCTCTCTCTCTTTTTTTTTTTTTTTTTTTTTTTTTTGAGACAGGGTCTCGCTCTGTCACCCAGGTTGGAGTGTAGTGGCACAGTCTGGGCTCACTGCAACATCCGCCTCTCAGGCTCAAGCAATTCTCCTGCCTCAGTCTCCCCAGTAGCTCTCTGTCTCTCTTTTAATCCCTTTCCTACACCGTCTTCGAATTCAGCTTATGACCACTACTCAATGCAGCAGTGTTTATTGTTAAATAATTCTGTTCTGTATTTTGTATAATATGGATTGTGCCCAGATGTGGTTGCTGTGTATCGTAATTAGAGATGGTGTTTGGGAGATGACTTGTAACCAAGGTTTCTCTCATTTAAATATAAGCACCAGGTGTTTGTGTATTCATTTTCTCCCACTACTACCACCAATTAGTTTTCCATAGTAAATTTTGCTCTAGTGGTTAGATTGTCCATCATTTGAGTTCATGTTTACTATGTATTTCCAAATTATATAGTAGTTTACCCCAATTTTTTCTGTTTGTTTGAGACGGAGTTTTGCTCTTGTTGCCTAGGCTGGGGTGCAGTGGCGCAATCTGGGCTCACTGAAACCTCTGCTTCCCGGGTTCAAGTAATTCTTCTGTCTCAGCCTCCCGAGTATCTGGGATTACAGGTGCCCACCACCATGCCTGGCTAATTTTTGTATTTTTAGTAGAGGTGGGGTTTCGCCATGTTAGCCAGGCTGGTCTTGAACTCCTTGCCTTGGCCTCCCAAAGTGCTGGGATTATAGGCATGAGCCACTGAGTCCGGCCTAACATTTTTTTTTTCTTACAATATATTAATTATAGGGAAAGTAGAGATAGGGTCATTGAGAAAAAAAAATCGAGTAATTTTGCTCTAGTCCCTTGACTCCCAAACTTTGGTCCTAGGATGAGTGGTTTCAGCTTTATCTGGGACCAAAATGCAAATTATTATTATTATTATTGAGACAGGGTCTTGCTTTGTCACCCAGGCTAGAGTGCAGTGGCACCATCATGGCTTACCGCAGCCTTAACCTGCCAAATTAAAGTGATCTCCCCACCTCAGCCACCCAAGTAGATGGCATGCACCACTGTGCCTGGCTAACTTTTTAATTTTTTTGTAATGACAAGGTCTCACTATGTTGCTCAAGCTGGTCCCAAACTCCTGGGCTCAAGTAATCCTCTCCCTCGGCCTCCCAAAAGTGCTGGGATTGTAGGCGTGAGCCACCACACTTGTCAGAAATGTAAATTATTAAACTCACCTGGAACCTACTGAACTCTTAGGGCAGGGGCCCTGTAACCTGTATTTCTACAGCTCCTCCAGGTGATGAGATGTAAAAGTAAAGTTTGCAAACCACTAATCAGTACTACCCTTATCCTCAAGCTACAGACACACCCAATTTGGCTGATAGTTGTGGAAACCAATGTTTTGGTAATACAATTAATGAGTCAGTCACCCTCCCAGTGTTAAACAATTTCCACAAGTAAATTCAGTGGTAAGTCTCATCTTGAGATGTTCATTGGCCGTGACCTATTTTTGGCAACTTAGTTTTCATTTTCCAAGGCCCCAAATGTCAGGATTTTCATTTTTCCAATTGTTAGATGTATGCTAATAGAAGACTGCCCCTAGCCACATGCGCCTTAACATTTGCCTATTTAAATACTTTGTATACTGTCTTTTGCAAGTATTTGCTTGGCATCATTCAGCATCCAGGAAGTGTTTCCATCATAACTTTGCTGCATCAAAATCAGGTGCAGATTACACCAGCTCACACAGAGATGGCAAGACCACCTCTGGACTTGCCGCCTGGGTCTTTAAAATTCTGCATGTTAAACTTCTTTCCCCGCCTCTGAGATAATTTATTTTTTATTTTTTAATTTTTATTATTTATTATTATTATTAATTTATTTTTTTTTTTTGAGATGGAGTCTCGCTCCGTTGCCCAGGCTGGAGTGCAACGGCACGATTTCGGCTCACAGCAACGTTCGCCTCCCTGATTCAAGCAATTCTCTGCCTCAGCCTCCTGAGTAGCTGGTACTACCGGCGCCCACCACCATGCCTGACTAACTTTTGTATTTTTAGTAGAGACAGGGTTTCACCATCTTGGCCAGGCTGGTCTTGAACTCCTGACCTCGTGATCCACCTGCCTTGGCCTCCCAAAGTGCTGGGATTACGGGCATGAGCCACTGCGCCTGGCTATTTTTTTTTATTTTTTATTTATTCATCTTTTGAGACGCAGTTTCGCTCTTGTCACCCAGGCTGGAGTGCAGTGGCGCCACCTCGGCTCACTGCAACCTCTGTCTCCCAGGTTCAAGCGATTCTCCTGCCTCAGCCTCCCAAGTAGCTGAGATTACAGGTGCCCGCCACCATGCCCAGCTAATTTTTGTATTTTTAGTAGAGATGGGGGTTCCACCATGTTGGCCAGGCTGGTCTCAAACTCCTGACCTCAGGTGATCCACCCATCTTGGCCTCCCAAAGTGCTGGGATTACAGGTGTGAGCTACTGCACCTGGCCTGAGATGAGAATTTAAAATAATGCTTTGGGTTCTGTGATCTAGACAACAATTTCTTTTGTTGCTAATTAGATGAAAGGTATAGAAAGTAAAATGATTGGGCCCCCGGAGAAGCAGGATTTTCCCCAGGGAATCCAACAAATCCAGAGAATGTCTTTGTTACGGGAGGATTGTTGTTTTAGTTAAAGATGTGCTTTGGAAATGTCTTCTTCCTTCATGTTAGTATCATGATCATTATCATGTTAAAAAAAAAAAAAAAATTTACAAACCACCTGGCCACCCAGAGCAGAATTACAGTCAGCACTCTGTTTCCCCAGGTCCTGAATCCTTGGATTCAACCAACCTCAGCACTCTGTTTCCCCAGATCCTGAATCCTTGGATTCGACCTTGGGCGGGGGAAAAAGAGTGGTTGCTTCTGTACTGAATATGTACAGGCTTTTTTTTTTTCTTGGCATTATTCCCTAAGGAATACAGCATAACAACTGTTTACATAGCATTTACATTGTATTCGGTATTATAAGTAATTTAGAGATGATTTAAAGTACAAGAAAGGCTGTGCATAGGTTATATGCAAATACTACATCATGTTATATCAGGGACTTATGCATTTGTGGACTTTGTATCCTCAGAGGTCCTGGAACTCATCCCTGGAACAGGGACGACTGTACTTAATACGCTGTCCAAAATGAATTGGACTGCCAGCATTCTCTACTTTTTCATGTATTACTCTTAGGTCAGGGGAAAAAACAAATCTCTGTATTTTATAATTAAGAATGAATCCCTGAGTCATTTGACTTCTTCAATGACAGAGCAAGCCACGTAAAAATACCCTTCCAAGGAAAGCCATCAGGGAGCCTCAGAATGGGTACAGTTTCACCCCATTTACCTAACCTTTTCTGCCAGTGCAGCTGAGCCTCTCAACGCGACTTTAACAAACTCTCTCTGAGCCAGTCTTCTCAGTGCCATCTTTGCTTTCATTCAACTTTACATGTCTAGTGTTGCTGCTCAAACCTGTGTCCCCTCAAGTCCTTTCCCAACTAAAGGATGGTGGTTAATTGACAATAGACAAACAAGTCTCAGAACAATTATGAGGGTGTAATGAAGTGTGCATTCGTACATGCAATTAAATAGAGGAAAGATGCAGGAGGGAATGTGTACACAATCCTCCTCCAGCTGGCACGCCCTGCCTGGAGGTGCTCCTCCACTGGAAGCCTGTTGTGTGCTCCTCTGGCAAGGAGATGAAGTCCCAGATTTTTAGTGCCTCATGCAAGGTCTTTTCCACCTCCTTCACTAGTTGACTTAGCCTGGCATGTAGCAAACTCTCAGTGTCATCTGCCTCCAACACAGTTTTCCCCAGGTCTTTCGTACCTTGGCCTTCACATGGGAAGCCAAGAGATGCTGAGCACATGGAGGAGGGCAATCTTTTCCCCCTTTGATTATTATTTTTTTAATTCATTGAGATTCTAAGTCCTCTGTCATTTCAAAGAAAGGATACTCTCTTTCCTTTGGAGCTATGTTCTACATATCATCCTAAGTGGAAAAAAATCATTAAATAGGCCGGGCGTGGTGGCTCACGCCTGTAATCCCAGTACTTTGGGAGGCCAAGGTGGGCGGATCGCTTGAGCCCAAGAGTTCAAGACCAGCTTGGCCAACGTGGCGAAATCCCGTCTCTTCTACAAATACAAAAATTAGCTGGGCGTGGTGGCACATGCCTGTAATCCCAGCTACTTGTGAGGCTGAGGCAGGAGGATTGCTTGACCCCAGGAGGTCAAGGCCGCAGTGAGACATGATGGTGCCACTGCACTCCAGCCTGGGTGACAGAGTCAGACACTGCCTCAAAGGAAAAAAACCAAACATACCTCAAATAATGTCTGCAAAATAAAAGACTATGAACGGAATATGGAGAAAGCCTCTAAGATGGCCCCAGGGGAGTGTTAACATGTCTAGCCTGATTAATTGGCTAGTTTGGGAATAATTCTATCCAAAGTGAGTGACAAGGCATGGCTGGCTAGTGTCAACTTTGTCCTCAGCTATAGTTAAAGGCAGGCCTGGAGGGCTGACTTGTTCAGTCTCAGTAGCAAAAAAGTGCATGGTGTCTGGATAAGCAGGTTGTACAGCCTATTAGAAAAGAAAGGTAACAGTCTTCCTCTAATGCAATAAGGGATTTTTTTTAAAGTTCTCCTGTCAAGATTTTTTAATACCAGAATCTGAGAGTGGAGAAAATTGGCCCAAGGACAGACAAAAGAGCTGGGAGGAAAATCGACTATATTTTTCAACACACAATGCCATTTGAAGTACTGGATTGAGTACGGAAGTATTACGAACATTCCTAATTTGGTTAGTGTCTATATTTCTTAATATAGTAATGCTATTAATGTCTGTCTCCTAAGTTTGTATAAATCCAAACCCCCATGTTATTGGCCAGTTGGAAACAATAATGTAAACAGACTCTGTTGCCCAAATTAAGTTATGTGCACCGAATGCTTTGTCAAACTGTAACTATTTTAATGTTCATTCTAAGCCACAAATCTTTGCCAAAGAAGATACTGAATTACTCTCTTTTGTTTAGGAGTAGAATACACAATAACCTAATATTTAAAAGTATTATTCAGAAGAAGAAAAACTTAGGATTGAATTTTTCTTTATCATAAATTTTAGATCATTCTCTTTGCTCGATTCCATAGAAGACACTAAGAATTAGACTGAACTGCTTTCTCATTGTATTGTTTTCTACTTGACCTAAAAATCCAGGGGTGGGTTATATAGAGAGTTTATTTAGGAGACTTTGGTAAGGGAGAGAGAAAAATAATGTACAAGCTGGAAACGCATGAAAAATGTAAACAATGAAAGTTAGAAGAATGGAAGCGACAGTGTGCTCAGGAAATGATGTGTCATTTGGTCGGAGTTCAGGGTGCCCCTGAATCCCAGGAGGGTAGCACTTGCTTTCCTGCCCATTGTGAAGGCAAGGAATCCGCGTGTTGTCCTATCAATTCCATTCATGGCAGGGTAGAGACTTTTCAAATGGAAGAAAATGTGCATTAAAGGACATTCTTTCTGCATGGGGTGGGGTAGTGAACGTGTTGGGGTTGAGGCACGGAGTTGTTTAGGTCAGGTGAATAGTGAGGGGAAATGGGCAGGCAGTCAATGGTTAAGTTGGTGTTTTGCAAGCCATTTTAAGAGGATACCAAATAAAATGCATTAATCTACATTTCATTAAAAATTAGTTGGTGGGAAAGTGGAAAGTTGAAGATGAGAACTTTCCAAGTAAAACAGCTTCATACTCCTTGGCCAGAACACCACTATATTTACAAATAGGGGATAAAAACACCCACTTCCTAGGTGGTCCATAAGCTTAACTGGGCAGGCATATGACACTTCTGAGCATTTGATGCCGTTCTCTGGGGGGGTTAAAGCCTGAATGCCCACCAAATCCCCTGTCTGAGCATCATTTGTGACCAAGATTCAAATTATTTCCCATGAAGCTCTAAGGTCTCATATAACTCAGTGGATGTAGCTCACGACTTCTTCTTTTGACCCCAGTATTCTAAGACAAACACCACAGCCGAAGCTGGAAGTGAGAGGAGAGGGGTTCGTTTCAGAGTCAGGAGCCCAAGGCGCCCCAGCAATTTCAGACCCCCTGGGACAGGAACTCCTCCTCCAGTAAGCTCTTGTTTTGAAAAACAGTGGGGTGGGGCCAAAAAAGCATTACAATGGAGCTGGGATGGATGAGGCTTTCTTTTATTTGAGATGTCACTTGTGTCACGTTTCCTGAAACAGCACGTTGGAAAACAGAAGCTATTTTCTATCCCGTGGGTTGCGCTGGAAGAGCTGAGAGGCCAGGCTGTGGATCCTTGCCACGAACAACAAGAGAGGGCAAGTCCAGCCGCCTGCTAGGGGACTAGCAGGAAGCGGCACGCCTGCCAGAGCTCATCACTTCAACTCTGGCTTTCACTGCGCTCATTCCCTGAATGGCAGTAACCAGGGGGCGGGGGTGGCATGGGAAATGAAAGAAAGAGATATGGGAAACTAAATCTGCCGGGGGAAAGAGAGTTACCGGAGTTTTAGCAAAACAGCTAGCAGATGCAAACGGGGAGGCAGAGGGAGGAGGGAAGGCTGGGCTTCAGCAACCTGCCACGGGGATTTAAACAAAGGAGGTTTGAGAGAGGCGGGATCTGGCTGTAATATCGGCACAGGGACAGAGACAGCAGCTGGACTCTCGGGATGAAACGGAATCGATTCCCAGCGTCTCCAACAGGGCAGGAGTGAGTGGAGTATGTTGCAAAATAAGAACTCAGAGAAACGAGTGAGTTTGGAAAAAAGACTTACAGATTTTGACGGTCTCTTGACATTTCACCCTTCTTTGAGGCATGCCTTTATCAATGCGTTACCTCTTCATAATTTCTGTCTCTAGTGTAATTATTTTTATCGTCTTCTCTGTGTTCAATTTTGGGGGAGATCCAAGCTTCCAAAGGCTAAATATCTCAGACCCTTTGAGGCTGACTCAAGTTTGCACATCTTTTATCAATGGAAAAACACGTTTCCTGTGGAAAAACAAACTAATGATCCATGAGAAGTCTTCTTGCAAGGAATACTTGACCCAGAGCCACTACATCACAGCCCCTTTATCTAAGGAAGAAGCTGACTTTCCCTTGGCATATATAATGGTCATCCATCATCACTTTGACACCTTTGCAAGGCTCTTCAGGGCTATTTACATGCCCCAAAATATCTACTGTGTTCATGTGGATGAAAAAGCAACAACTGAATTTAAAGATGCGGTAGAGCAACTATTAAGCTGCTTCCCAAACGCTTTTCTGGCTTCCAAGATGGAACCCGTTGTCTATGGAGGGATCTCCAGGCTCCAGGCTGACCTGAACTGCATCAGAGATCTTTCTGCCTTCGAGGTCTCATGGAAGTACGTTATCAACACCTGTGGGCAAGACTTCCCCCTGAAAACCAACAAGGAAATAGTTCAGTATCTGAAAGGATTTAAAGGTAAAAATATCACCCCAGGGGTGCTGCCCCCAGCTCATGCAATTGGACGGACTAAATATGTCCACCAAGAGCACCTGGGCAAAGAGCTTTCCTATGTGATAAGAACAACAGCGTTGAAACCGCCTCCCCCCCATAATCTCACAATTTACTTTGGCTCTGCCTATGTGGCTCTATCAAGAGAGTTTGCCAACTTTGTTCTGCATGACCCACGGGCTGTTGATTTGCTCCAGTGGTCCAAGGACACTTTCAGTCCTGATGAGCATTTCTGGGTGACACTCAATAGGATTCCAGGTACGTACAATTCCATATTTCATGCAAAAGAAATGTGTCGTATTTGAAAGGGCTTTAGAATAACCAGCCACTTTTTATTAGGAAGTAGAAGATGAAAACTGGAACATATATAGTTCTCACCCTAGTCCTTTCTAAATGCAGAAAGATGTTCTTTTTTTTTTTTGAGACTGGATCTCACTCTGTGGCCCAGGCTGGAGTGCAGGGGCAACATCATGGCTCACTGAACCCTGGACCTCCTGGGCTCCAGCAATCCTCCCACTTCAGTCTCCTGAGTAGCTGGGACTACAGGTGCACACCACCATACTGGGCTAATTTTTAAAAAAAATTTTGTGCAGACAGGGTCTCGCTATGTTGCCCAGGCTGGTCTCCAACTCCACAGCTCAAGCTATCCTCCCCATCTTGGCCTCCCAAAATGCTGGGATTATAGCCATGAGCCACCATGCCTAGCCCAGAATGATGTTCTTTATGTGATAATTCACATGTTCTAGCACTACTAAGTAATACCTTTCCATGCTATCACTTGGTGGTCCATCAAGTTCTTTTTCACACATCATCTTATTACATCTTTACCACAATAGCTGTTAGTCCACACTGGTGTTCTTTCTTTCCTCTAAATTTGTCAGGCTTGCTCTTACCCCAGGATCTTTGCCTTGGCCACCCTCCTGCCTACTCCAGGCCTCCACAGGCTCCTTCCCCTTAGCCAGATCTCAGCTCTCAGGTGTCAGCAGCTCTGATACTCCCCCTCATTGGCCAGCACACCACTCTGTTTTTCTTTTAAAGAGTTTATTGCCCTGTGGAATTAGGATATTTACCTATTTGCATGGGTTTGTTCTTGGTCTCCTCTGCATTTGTTCCATGAAGCCAGGGTTATTTTCTATCTCATTAACTGCTCCTCAGTGCTTAGAACAGAGAGTAAATGCTCAATAAGTATATATTAGATGAATAAATCAGTGAGTGAGTGAATGAATGGTAAAGCATGAAGCTTTACTATGGCACCAGAGCTGTCTCCCTAAGACATTGTTGAGCTGAGAAATATTTGGACTCATGCATGTACCATATTATATGTGTAGGATTTTTAAAAATACATTTTATTTCAAATAAAATAATGAGATCCTAGCAGAAACTCCTTGCTTTCTCACCCGAATTTTCCTATCTTTACTAATTTACCAGACCGATTGTTTTTTAAAGTGTATAAAACATGATGGGATTTCTTCTGAAGAAAACAGCGTGCTTTGGACTCAATGAAAAATACAAAATGGATCTCTGATGAACTAGACAGCATTATTATAGCAAGAGAAAAGCAATCATTGTTCTGGCTGTTGGGGGATTGCCAAGTTCGAAAGGCTGGTAGGTGCTCTCAGGCTGCAGGGCAGGGCCTGCTGGGCGATAAACACGCCGGCATTCTCTGGAAAATACCATGCCTGGTGTTTGAATCCCAGGGTGACTTTCCTGGTGAATGCGGCTCACTCGTATGCTGCGCACACTGTTTCCGCACCTGCCTCTGCCTGGGTTCATCCTCTCTTCACCTTTGATCTGTTGTTTCCACCATTCGCATATCATTGAGGAGCATTAGGTACTTAGGAGCTGATTTTCATATTTAAATATTTATTCCCTTTCTATTTTCATTCTTTCCTTAAAATTCATAAAAGTTGGGTCCCAGTCAAGTGGTTCCTTAAGTATTGTGCTGAGATGAGGGCATTTCATAAGTTAACAAAAGTCTAAATTGTTGCTTTTTTTTTTTTTTTTTAGAAAAACATGGGTTTTGGTTTCTATTAAATGTAAATATCTGTGGTTATTTTGCCAGAAGCCTGGTCAGTTTTATCAATGTCAAATAATATAAGAAAATCAAGGGAAAAAGAATTCCCCTTTTTTCCTTACCCCTTTCTGATCTCTTGGGAGACCAAAAGAATGATATCTGGATAGGTGTAGGAGAGAATGCTATCTAGATGGGTATAGGAGAGAACGACATCTACATGGGTAGAGGAGAGAATGCTACCTTTTCTTCTCTTTTTTAGGAGAGAGAACACCTTTTTTGCTGTAGGTTTATGCCATGGCATGCTGGCTTCTGCCTTCTCACTGCAACAGTGTGGCCCCATGTAAATCATAGAACCTCATGGGACCTCAAATCTCTCCAGCTACAAAATGGGGAACCCAGGTAGAAAGACCCCTTTCATTCCTACACATACCTTTCTTTGCAGAAGACACAATGCCTAGAACAATGTAAAGACCTCCCACGCTGCTAGTGGGAATCTATAGAGAGAAAGGCAGAAGGGCTGGTGAGCCTGGATCATGTACTGCCCATCAACTTTGGCAAGCGCATCCCATTTCCCTTGCAGGAATTAGAGGCGAGAGCTCCTCCAGAGAGCAACTGCCTGGAGAGGAAGGCCATTGCGGTCCATGTCAGTGGTCTGTCCTGTCTGATTCTGCAAGGGATGCCTTTCAGGATAACGTGCCATGTCCTGGGGCTTTGTTTCTTTCCTTTCTTAGACTCTGGGCAACATCCTGGTTCAGGGAGAAAGGATATCCTGCTTCTAGGTAGGCCTTCACAAATTACAAGTGAATTACAGCAAACAAATCTTCAAATGCTCTAGCCCTAGTAGTGCCTCTCTCTACCTTCAAAGGCAGTGGAAAATCTAATCCCACGCTCGAGTAACTCCCATGGTTTTACACTTGAGCATTCTTTGTGATTTAAGATTTGGCATGTGAATCTGGTTCTTATATAACCACACAGCCGTTAATCAATATCAGCTCTTCTATTTTTTTTGAGACAGAGTCTCACTCTGTAGCCCAGGCTGGAGTGCAGTGGTGCGATCTCGGCTTACTGCAACCTCTGCCTCCCGGGCTCAAGTGATTCTTGTGCCTCAGCCTCCTGAGTAGCTAGGATTATAGGCCCCCACCATCACGCCCGGTTAATTTTTTTGTATTTTAGTAGAGACGGGGTTTCACCATGTTGCCCAGGGGTAGTCTCGAATTCCTGAGCTCAGGCGATCCGCCCACCTCGGCCTCCCAAAGTGCTGGGATTACAGGCATGAGCCACTGCGCCGGGCTGAGCTCTTCTATTTTCAATGTCATGTTTTAAGAGGAAAAATTCTTCTGTCCGTACAGGGTAAACATCTTTTTGCAAACGTGCAAGTGCAGGTGGTGCTGTTCATTTCTTCCCTCAAAGCGACCGCCTCCCTTTCTCCTAAATACCTTAAATTAAAATGTGTTAGCAAGACCCTGTGCAGGCATTTCAGGTTTCCCAAAACACCCCCAAGAGCAATGTGACCGAGAAAATGATTAGTACCTTAGAATTAGATGGTTTCAGAAAACAAAGTGAAAATCGGTTCGAATTGGCGAGACTGAATAGAAGGGATATTCATAGAAGTAGCAGTAAATCACAGAGCTTCACACTGCCTTTTTTTTTTCTTGGTGCCTTTCTACTGAGAGTGACTTCTCTTTTGGTTTTCAACCACTAGGCTCTCTCTACACTGTTAGAAATGGTGATACAACAGGCCAGAAAGAGGTCCTTAGGGGCCCCAGTCTCTCACTCCTTTTCAGGGGAACCAGGTAAAGTGGTTGTCCTTCTCTTCTGTGTGGCTTGTGCACAGATGGGGTGTCTAGCCCCCTCCCTTCTGCTTACATTCTCAAAGGAAATTCTCCAGGACCACAGATTTCTCTGACCCACGTTACAGAGCATCAGGCTGTGACAGCCGTAACTTCTGACTTCCGGTACACCCTTATATTTTCTAACATCTCTGAGCTTTGTAATGATTGCTCTAAGTCACTTTAAGAAAAACCCATGTGCTCTAGCTCTCCCGGCTCTTCTTTCAGAATTTTCTTTTCTTTTTCTTTTTTTTTGAGACAGAGTTTCACTCTTGCCCAGGCTAGAGTGCAATGGCACGATCTTGGCTCACCGCAACCTCCGCCTCCTGGGTTCAAGCGATTCTCCTGCCTCAGCCTCCCAAGTAGCTGGGATTACAGGCATGTGCCACCATGCCTGGCTAATTTTGTATTTTTAGTAGAGACGGGGTTTCTCCGTGTTGGTCAGGCTGGTCTCGAACTCCCGACCTCAGCCGATATGCCCACCTTGGCCTCCCAGAGTGCTGGGATTACAGGTATGAACCACTGTGCCTGGCTTTTGCAGCATTTTCATCTGCCTATCTTCCCCAAGGCAGAGCACCTGAAGCCATTTAATTTTTGCTTTACGCTTTGTGAAATTGTTCAGCATCTACCCAAGTGGCCGCTGGTTGATCTTCTTCCCAGTCCATTCCCATGGCTAGAATGTCTTCTTACACTTCAGGGTGGTTTCGTCTCTAAGGAACAGAGCTACCCCACTCTTTGGCTTCAGCTCCTGTTTTTCCCTCGCTGCACTAAGTGTGCTTTTGGAGTCTTTGCTCATTCATTACTCTGACCTTTCTCATGCCATGATATTTTTCTTCCATAAGAATGTTTTCATTTATTTCGTTTCCTTTTTCCATTTTGTATACGTTTTCCTTTTTTTTTTTCAGGGCCCTTTTGTCAAATTCTCTCAACCTCAGAAGGGATCACATGATCCCATTTCCTCATTTTTTAATTCTAAAAATATCGTGTTTCCTACTTTGATTTATTTTGCTTTTTAAACTGTGACTTTTATTTATATGTGCACATTCTTTGGGAGGGTGTTAGGACTCTTTCGGTTGCAAGTGTCAGAAACTCAACTCAAAGGAGCTTAAACAAGCACCAGAAGTTACCGGGTCACACATCTGAGATGCCCAAGGGAGCTCCCAATCAAGCTGGATCAGCGAGTCAAACCGTGTGCTCAGGACCCTTTCTTGCTAGGTCATCTCCCTGTGGGGAGACCAACTGTCCCAGTTTGCCCAGGTCTGAGGGGCAGTCCTGGGCATGGGACCTTGATGGGTACAACCAGGTCGAGATGGTCCCCCTATCTCTCTGCATCTCTGTGCTGGCTTCCATCAGGCAAATTCTCCCCAGAAAGCCAGAAGTAGCTCCAAGTGTACTTGCTTTTCACAGTGGTTACTCCTGGGGGACAAGAAATACTTTTTCCTGAGAGTTCCAGCGGCAGCTTAAGGGAGACCTCAGATTGGCCCTGCTTGGTCCAAATTCCCATCCCTGGTTGGGCACGGTGGCTCACACCGGTAGTCCCAGCACTTTTTGAGGCCCAGGCGGGAGGATCCCTTGAGCCCAAGAGTTTGAGACCAGCCTGGGCAACAAAGCAAGACCCTGTCTCTACAAAAAATAAATTATTCACCAGGCATGGTGGTGTGCGCCTGTACTTCCAGCCACTCAGGAGACCAAGGCAGAAGGATCACTTGACAGAGTCAGAACTTCTCTGAAAAAAAAAAAAAAAAAAAAACAAAAAAAAACCCACAAAAACAAATTCCTATCCATAAACAAATCACAGGGGTGAAGAATGCTCACCAACATTTCTTGGGTCCCTTTTCTACCCTGAAGCCAAGGGCTGGGGACAGGCTTTGGTGGAGGAGGCTGCTCAGGGTGACGCTGGGCAGAGCAAAGCACAGGCCCACTGCAGGACACCCTTTGTCCTACACTGGGTGGCAGGGTGGGTTAAGGGTTGTTAACAAGCAGCACTTTGGGAGACTGAGGTGGGTGGATCACCAGAAGTCGGGAGTTCGAGATCAGCCTGGCTAACATGGTGAAACCCTACCTCTACTAAATATACAGAATTAGTTGGGTGTGGTGCACGCCTGTAATCCCAGCTACTCCAGAGGCTGAGGCAGGAGAATCACTTGAACCCGGGAGGCAGAGGTTGCAGTGAATTGAGATCATGCCACTGAACTCCAGCCTGGGCAACAGAGTGAGACTCGGTCTCCAAGAAAATAAACAAATAAGCACATCCCTCCTGTGATATTAGAGGGGCAAGATTTAGTTTTATACATATGGGTGTGTGAGTGGATACAACATTAACCATTTGTACAATTTTAACTGACCTAACCGTACCCTTTTCTCTCATAAAAACATGTTCAATAATAATGTCACTCTATTATATTTGGACAATGCTTAATTTGCAAGGGAAATTTCTTACACATTATCTCCTTTAATTCTTATAAAACCCCATAAGAAGGGGACTGTTCCCATTTTACAGATGAGAAAGTTTAAGATGAAAATATGTGACTTAGCTGGGCGTGGTGGCTCACGCCTATAATCCCAGTAGTTTGGGAGGCTGAGGCCTGTGGATCACCTGAGGTCAAGAGTTCGAGACCACCCTGGCCAACATGGTGAAATGCCTTCTCTACTAAAAATACAAAAATTAGCCTGGCGTGGTGGCAGGACCCTGTAATCCCAGCTACTTGGGAGGCTGAGGCAGGAGAATCGCTTGAACCCAGGAGGCGGAGCTTGCAGTGAGCCGAGATTGTACCACTATGTTCCAGCCTGGGTGACAGAGTGAGACTCCATCTCAAAAAAAGAAAAAAGAAAAAAAAAAAAAAAAAAAAAATATATATATATATATATATATATATATATATGACTTGTCCAAAGACAAATATTGCATATGCTTAACAAGAAATCAAAATAAAAAGAAACATCCAAGGGAAGGAGGTAGCACATGTTATCCGCTTATTTTAAATTGAACCCAGTTTAATGAATTCTTCATTGAATGATTGCAATTACTGCGAATATTCTGAAGATGAAACTTAGCTAATTCTAAGTCTTATTCAGCTTGCGGAATGGTTATATAATTAGACCCACTCAAAAACTTTCTCTTTCATCCTGATATTCAGCCCATTTTCCTGGAGATTTTGGCTTTTTCATGTGAGCAGAGGTGCAGGAAAGATGAAGGCAATTAATGTTTACTGAACATGTGCCTATGGGTTTAGAGTATCTCAGTTGAATCTCCACAAGAATCCCATCCAGTGGGTACTTAAATCCACATTTTGCAAATATGAAGACGGGACCAGAGGGGCTGAGTAATGTGCCCTGTTCCAAAAGCAGGAAGCAGAGTAGAGAATGTGTGTGGCGGGCCCCTCAAATTCTACATGCTCTGAACTAAACTCAGACTCTCCCCTTTGCAAGTCTCTGAATTTGACACCATTCTCTGTTAGCTCAGACCTGCGGGCTGGTCTCCCTTAGCTCTCCCTACCCTCATCCCTGCTGATCTGGCTCTTCCTGGAGTGTAGAAGTCAAGGGCTCAGGCTCCAGAGTCAGAGAGAACCAGGTTGGACTCCTGGCTCCTCCATCACCAGCCATGTATCCCCCGACATCTGTCAACCTTGGTCTTAGCATTGCAATATGGCACAGATGGCAGAAGCCTGGACCCTGCAGCCAGATGGCCTGAATGTGAATCCCGGCTCTGTCACTTAGAAGTTGTGTGACCTCGGACAAAGTACCTGACTTTTGTGTCTCAGTGACTTCATCTGTAAAATGGGACAATAATAATAGATATCAAATATGTAAGGTCTAAATGAGTTATTGTTATTGTATTTTCATCTATAAGATGGATATTCATTTAATAAATATTTATGGAGCAACCAGACACTTTGCTGGGTACTGAGAAATAGTAGTGAATGAGACACATAAGGCCCCTACCTCATGGAGGATACATTTTAGAAGGAAGAGACAGCCAATAAATAGTAGAGAGAGAGAAGCCAGATCATTAGAGTTGATGAGAAATGCTATGAGGGAAATACACAGGGAGCAACCTACTGTAGATGAAATGGGACAGGAAGGCTTCTTGGCAATGGTAGCACATGAACTGCCTCCCAAAATGAGAGTGAGCCAGCCACGCACTTGTGAAAGAGGTCCCAGGCAGAGGGAATAGGGATCGCAAAGGTCGTGGGTGAGCCTGGTGTCTGCAGAGCCAGAAAAGCAGCCCGTGTGGCCATAGCCGAGCGAACGAGGATGAGAGCTGGACTGAGCATGAGGCAGGCAGTGCATGAACCACACAGGCCCTTGCAGGAGGCCAGAGAAAAACAGATCTGACAGTGCCCTGCTTGTGGGCAAGTGCTGGGCACAGAATAAACACTCAGCAAAATGGATCTTGCCACAGGCCTGTTTTCTGTGGAGTCCTAATTAGGGAAAAGGAGTCAAGCTGGTGGGATCAAGGGAAAGCAGAGGGAAAGCAGATAAGCTGCAAGTCCGCCTTTCTTCATGGTCCAGGACACAACCTCCTGAGCCAATAATTCACGATTTTCCCACGACCAGCTATCACCAGACACCTGCAGATTAGCTCCCCGCAACCTTGGCATTGTCAGTACTGCACAAAGCTCTCTTCAGCATGAACACTACCCTATAAAATCTCCAGCAAGGCTTTGTTTCTTTGCAGTCAGCTTCTGCTGGCCTGCCCGTTGCCTTTTCGCAATGTATCTTCCTACTTTCTTGAAGAAATCTACCTTTCTCTACCTACAACAGTCTTGGTAAATTCTTCCTGGTAAATTCTTTTCCCCCCACACCACCGGCCAAGATAGTATCGCTCCCCCGTGACACGTTCCACTTCTGGCGCCGTCGTCTACCCTTCTTCTTTCTCTTAAAGTTGTATAATTTCTTCCTAACTAGTTTCCCTGTTCCGTGCTTTAATCCATCCTCCACAGTGACAGGATGGCCTTTGTAACATGCACCCATGATCATGCGATCACATCCCTCTCCTCCTTAGAAGCTGTGTATGGATTCCCTTCCCCTACGGTGTATGGATAGCATCCCAGCACCTTCACCAAACACAGAGAGCTCCTCGAGATCTGGCCCCCTTGGCCTTTCCAGTGACTTCTCTAGCTGCGCCCTTCCCCAGATAACTTGCGGATCCCTGTTCTGCCACTCCCAGCCTTCCTGCCCTGACGCATGCAGTCCCTCTCCCGGGAGGCTCCCGGATGCTCTTCCTCCCTATCCTGCATCTGATTGATGTGTGCTTTTTTTTTTTTTTAATTCAGCTTAGAGTCACACTCTGTAAAATTCTTTTCCTGATTCTCACTCATCTGGACTCCCGTACAACGTTGTACTATTATTGGTCTTTTTATTTTTAATCTTTAAAAAAATTTTTAGGAGACAAGGCCTGGCTCTGTGACCCAGGCTGGAGTGCAGTGATACCATCATGGCTCACTGAAGCCTTGACCTCCTAGGCTCAGGCAGTTCTCCTGCCTCTGCCTCCCGAGTAGTTGGGACTTTAGGTGCCACCATGCCCAGCTAATTTTTAAAATCTTTATAGAGATAGAATTTCACTGTGTTGCCTAAGCTGATCTTGAACTCCTGGCCTCAAGTGATCCTCCTGCCTTGGCCTCCCAAAGCGTTGGGATTATAGGCATGAGCCACTGCGCCCAACCATATCAGTTTTGCAGTGCTGTGTTGTATATTCCTAGTGACCTTTTAGAATAGGCTTCAAGGGCAGCAGCTGCACGGGCCTATTTCTGTTTACACTTAGCATACCTCGGGCACATGAGCAGTACTCAAGATGATGGAGTCCCAACTTATATTTGTTTAACCTACACAGACTTAATTAAATGCATGCACACATGTACGCTTGTGCACGCACACGTTTTATATGGGTTTAAATGGTGTTGGCCATGCTACTCTGCCCTTCATTTTACCCAATGAGTGGGGTCCAGAGTAAGCCAAGGAGTCTGCTCATTCTCTTGATGGAGTTTGCTTCCCAAGGCTCACTAATGTTAAAGGACTGTATATGTCTATCTCATAACATAGCTCGTCTGCTCAAACGAACTTCTTCATCTAGTGCTCATTAGAAGAAACAACCATCTGGACCAAGATTAAAGAGAAGGCTAGACTTATGCCTATAATCCCAGCACTTTGGGAGGCCAAGGCAGGAGGATCACTTGAGCCCAAGAGTTCAAGATAAGCCTGGGCAACATAGTGAGACCACATCTCAACAAAAAAATAATAAAATGAAATTGGCCAAGTCTGGTGACACACACCTGTATTCCCAGCTACTCAGGAGGCTAAGGTGGAAAGATCACTTGGCCCCAGGAGTTGGAGACCAGCCTGGGCAACACAGTGACTCATCTCTACAAAATATACAAAAATCAGCTGGGCATGGTGGCACATGTCTGTGGTACCAGCTACTTGGGAGGCTGAGGTGGGAGGGTCACTTGAGCCCCAGAGATGAAGGCTGCAATGAGCTAGGATGGCGCCACTGCATTCCAGCCCTGGCAACAGAGCAAGATGCTATCTCAAAGAAAAAGAAAAAAGATGAAAGGGAAGACTGACCATGTTGGAATGTGGTGCATTCCTAAGGGATATCTCTAGAGGAATATTAACTTTTAGGCCTTTTTCCCTTTACTCATTGACTCTGCAACCTCACCTCTGTGTAAGATGTATAGCTACTGTACATATTTCTTGGATGTATTGAACAGCTAATAATTGCCAGAGCCAGGGCACAAATTGATCTCTTCTTACTTCTAATCCAGTCCTCTGTCTCCTGTCCACAATGCAATGTATAGAATCGATCTTTTCTGGAAGTTGTTACTGAGAAAGGCAGATAGGGTTAAAAGTGCTAGCAAGAGAATTATCAAAGACGGAAGCCAGCAAAATTTATCATGGAGTTTTGACTTTGCCCTCGAACTCTCAGCCGAAACCTCAAGATAATGAAAAGGTGATCACTTTGCCAATGATAAATGGATTTTATAATCCCTCACTGAGAAAGTTGAATGTAAATGAAGAGCTCTGTTCTTTTCATCTTCTTGCTTACTGACTATTGAAATGAGACTTAGCTATCGGTGGAATTTTGGAGCTACTATTCTCAGTGAAATTCAGAATTCGAGAAATGTTTTCAGGAAACATCCTCCTCAGTTCTTGCCTCAGTTTACTTCGTGGCTCTTGCAGTTCTTTCCCCCTTTGTGATCTCATTTACATCTGCAGTTTCTCACCACCACCTCAGTACTGACCATTCACTTCCCTGTAGTGAGCTCCCAGGCCTTCTGCCACATCTCCTTGTTTTTTGGATATCTCTTCTCGAAGCTTCCACGAGTGCCTGCTGACATCTCCCTACTCCCCACACACCCAGCTTTCCACTCACAGTCTCTGTGGTATGGCCATCCTTCAAGTCAGCCAACTTCCCCACTTCTGGTACCCCAGGATCCAGCCAGCACATTCCATACGTTTTGTCTGTGAGAGTTTTCTAGCAAGTTCTACCCTTCCTGTTTTCATCATTACTGTTCTTAACTCTGGCCCATCACACCTGTCAAGCAGACTATTGTCGGACCCACTCCAAGTGGTCTCTCTGGCCCGAGTCTCCCTCTTCAAACCATTCTAACACTCTTAACATATTTTGCTTCTTAAGACATAGCTCTAAGAAAAACGTTTTCTCAATTCCAAAAGCTTCAGTGAGTGTCAACAACTTATTGAATTATTCAGTATAGACATCTCAACATGGCAGGTTGGATGTCAAAATCTCCCTGTTGGAGATCCCCTCAGTATTACCTGTGTTACCCCACCGTCAACTCCCATTGCTGCCTTCCCTGAAAGGAACCCTTCAGAAAAATTACCATGCCTGTAATCCTGCCATAGGTCCTTTTCTTCATGTCACCCTCTCTGTTTGTGCCATTGCCTTCCATCTCTCCATTTAAATAATGGCCTTGTTTAATGGTATGTCATTCAATGGTAACACATCATGTCATTGGTGTGTCATTTAGGAAGCTTTTTCTGGTCTTATTTTTTCCCAATTTTATACCTTTATAAACCTCTGTTGTAATGCTTTTATGTCATTCTAGAATCTCTGCATTATCATTATTAATGTGAATATCGTATTACCGCGACTAGACTATAATGTCTTTGAGGTCTTTTGTATTTTTGGCAGTCCAGCATAGTGAGCATTCAGTGGGCTGACAGGAAATATTTATTGAATTGAGTCAAATGGAAATAATTTTAGGATGTTGGTGCCCCTCAGCACTGCTGCCTAGTCAACTTCAAATCATTACCACTTGCATCACCCCCTGCCACCCACTCCCCCCGCCACACACACACACACACACACACACACACACACACACACCCCCTAGGTAATTTTGCCAAATCCTGAAGGGTCAACTTCAAACAGTATCTTTCAGCCATGTTTTCTGAGACAGGGTCTCACTCCATCTACCAGGCTGGATTGCAGTGTGTGATCTTGGCTCACCGCAGCCTCAAACTCCTGGGCTCAAGCTGTTCTCCCACCTCAGCCTCCCAAGTAGCTGGGATTATAAGCATGAGCCACTGCACCTGGCCCATGTTCAATTTTTCTTTGACGTTTCCTAAATGCTCCTCTGTTCTTGGGCAACAGCAATGAGACAGTTCTCTTCCACTCAGTTTTTCCAAAGCATCCTGCTTATTTTGGGAATGCTTCTCATGCTGAGCCCAGCCTGGGGGCAGCATCTGCTCCAGACAGGCTGTTCTTCAACCCAAGGTCCAACCACCATCATAGTGGACCATTTGCAGTCTCAGCTATGCCCTAAGCAAAAATATGTTAACTGCTCTTCTAACTAACCATTTCTCAGTGTAGTTTTTCCATGCTAGGACTACTCATAAACCTGTCTTTCTCTTACCCTCTGAGCTCATATGGATTTCTTCCTTCCTTCCTTCCTTCCTTTCTCTTTCTTTCTCTTTCTTTCTTTCTTTCTCTTTCTTTTTCTTTCTTTCCTTCCTTCCTTTTTCCTTCCTTCCTTTCTCTCTCTCTTCCTTCCTTCCTTCTTCCTTCCTTCCTTCCTTTCTTTCTCTCTTTCTTTCTTCCTGACAGAGTTGCACTCTGTCACCCAGGCTGGAGTGCATGGCGTGATCACGGCTCACAGCAGCCTCAACCTACCAGGCTCATGCGTTCCTCCCATGCACCACCATGCCCAGCTAATTTTGTAATTTTTGTAGATATGGGGTTTTGCCATGTTACTCAGGCTGGTCTTGAACTCCTGGACTCAAGTGATTCACCTGTCTCAGCCTCCCAAAGTGTCGGGATTACAGGCATTAGCCACGGCACCCAGCATGTGGCATTCTTTCTTAAGTGCTTCTAGACAAAGCAATAAGTGGCAGAAGGCTTTCCCCAAATCCATTTACCTTGTGTCTCCTTTTGACACCACATTTCTGGAGAATGGATGGATGGGAGTTGGGCTTTCGAAACTTTGCCCTTCAGCTCTGTACTTTTGTGAAATGTATTCTCCCATAATCTTCCTCCTCAGCCAGGTTTAAAAGATCAGAACTTAACTGTGAAAATATTGGAGGATACAACTTCAGTCTTTCCCGAGTAAGCTGGAGATACTCATGTCATACTGATAAATTTAGCTTCGTGCTACCATCAGCCCTCTCTTCTGGACATTTCCTGGTTCATTTTCTTTCTAGCCATCTCCTTCCTTAGACCCAATCTTCACATAACTCTTCCTTCACTGAAAATCTAATTCTGCACTTGGTCCAAGTCTGAGCTCCTCCTTCAAGCTCTTTGGGGGGCCTACTGAAAAAGGCCCTCCTGCCTTAGAGTCCAAATCCCCTCTTGTGTCCTATGTGAAAACTACTGTCCCCAAGACCCTGAAGTCCTTGCTATGTTTTGGGCCATGTCCTAGAGAGGCTGAACTTGTCTCTGTCTGGTTTCTTCTCTCCCAGGATTTTGGTCTGTTGGAGTTAACCGGCTTCCTCCCCACTTCTAAGCCTTGTAGATTTATCTCTGGTCCATTATCCTACCACTTTATGGACTTTCTTTGTCAGGTACTCAGTCTAAACCAAGCCTCTCAGGTACAGTTTTCCCATAAAAACAGCCTCCTCTTTATTCTATGCTGAATCTAAAATAATGACAGCGTTTAGAACCACAAGCGGCCTTAGAGAACATCCTCTAATCCTAGTTATACAAATTTGGAGATTGTGAGCCAGAGAGATCAAGTGGCTGGCTGATTGTCCTGCTCCTTAAAATGAGTTTACATTTTTTAGCCTCACTGCCTATTTCTTATAAAGCTTAGAATGAGCATTCCATCCCTACAATCCCATATGTTTCTATTAATCCCACCCCATACGGAAAGAAGATCTCTCAAGTTACACGTGGTATAGAGGGAAGGGAGTTTAGAAACTGTAATGCTATAGTAGAAATTATGATGATGATCATGATAATTATTATTATTATTATTTTTTGAGACAGAGTCCCGCTCTTGTTACCCAGGCTGGATGGAGTGCAATGGTGCAATCTCAGCTCACTGCAACCTCCGCCTCCCAGGTTCAAGCAATTCTCCCTGCCTCAGCCTCCCGAGTAACTAGGATTACAGGCGCCTACCAATATGCCCGGCAAATTTTTGTATTTTTAGTAGAGATGGGGTTTCACCATGTTGGCCGGACTGGTCTTGAACTCCTGACCTCAGGTGACCCACCCACCTCAGCCTCCCAAAGTGCTGGGATTACAGGTGTGTGCCACCGCACCAAGCCCTATAGTAGAAATTATTATCTCTTCATGTTCTCCCATTATTGTTTGTTACTAAAACCTTCCTATATCCACTGGAAAACATCTGTGTAGTTGGTATAATTTAAATGCGTTCTTTTGGGTTCACTGTAAAGCCATCCCATGAATATTAATCACTTGTCCCCATGCCTCAGTGGTTCACGGAAATGTGAAGAAGGATCACGCAGAGATTTTCTGCACTATAGACTTAGTGATGATTTGCACGCCTGCCCCCTCCACACCCCCTGAGATAATGATTTGAATGTTTCTTTTCCTTTCACACTGATAGTTATTGTATGTCCCTAATCAGTAATACCTTCAGTAGTAATTGTCTATCTGGGAGTGGTTAGGACTGATGCTATCTAGAGTGAACAATTCTCCCTGGTCTGCCAAAGCTTCTCTAGCTCTAGTACTGAAATCCCGTGTTCTGGGAAACCCCTCAGCTCTGGGCAAGCCGGGACAGTTGGTCACCCTGAGCACCTCCCACCCCATTCCTGCTCACCTTTCCATGTCAGGATGAAGAATTCAGTGCCCAAAATATTTATGTTCCGCAGAACTGCACTGATCAATAACCTGGAAAAAAAATGATCCTTGAAACCACTCATTTATGTAGGTTACAACATATTGAAGGGTAAAAATCAAAGCTACAATATTAGCCCTGAAGACCCCAACCAAAGTGAACCTGGACTGGACCTATTCCATTTATAACGCTTTTCCCATTGTTTTTGAGGAGAGAGTATAGAGTTTAAGGATGTCATCTAAAAGGATAGATGGCAGGCCGGGCGCTGTGGCTCACGCCTGTAATCCCAGCACTTTGGGAGGTCAAGGAGGCCAAGGCAGGCGGATCATGAAGTCAGGAGATCGAGACCATCCTGGCCAACATGGTGAAATCCCATCTCTACTAAAAATACAAAAAAAATTAGCCGGACCTAGTGGCGGGCGCCTGTAGTCCCAGCTACTCAGGAGGCTGAGTCAGGAGAATGGCGTGAACCCAGGAGGCGGAGCTTGCAGTGAGCTGAGATTGTGCCACTGCACTCCAGCCTGGATGACAGAGCGAGACTCCGTCTCAAAAAAAAATAAAAATAAAAATAAAAAATAAAAGGATAGATGGCTAAATATAAAATGTGAACTTAAAACTACGTTACCCAGTGAGAGCATCAAATGCAAAAATTGTCTCCAGTTAGGTACAAACACAGGATGTATCTTGGAGGCAAATTTATTCCTGATTTAATTTCTAGGAAAGCAGAAGAAACGTCTGCTTTTTGGGATCTATCCAAGCCCTCTGCCCTAACAAACGGTCTAAACTCAGGCAAATGGCCGGCTCTGTGGGAAAGGAGCTAGTATAAGAGTGGATTGAATAAACTGAAAATGAGTCCAGAATTTAATAAGGCTATTAAAATTAGAAGTTGCAAGAAATCACTGCCTATCTCTATTTTAAGACTTTTGTTTCCATTTATTTGAAAGTGTTCGGAAGATATAAAGGATGGGATGTTCTAGATATGGATCTCTGGCAGCAGCTGGATTGTCAAATAGTGTCTCTTGGAACTTCTCAACTTCTTTTTCCTCGGATGCGACATTCGGAATCAGAGAAAAGTTGTTGTGCAGAAAGACAAATAGTTACCTACGCTGTTCCTTGAAACTTAACAGAATATAGTCAAAGATAAAGTTTTCATTTGTGGGTTTTATTGTTGTTGTTATCTTTGCTTGGGCATTTAGTGTTAACAGCTGGGCAGTTAACACCAGAAGGGAAAGAAATTTTGTCTCCCAGTGGGGTTGCTAGGGAAGTAGAGAAAAGCAGTGTGTCCCTGGAAGAGCAAGGTAAGTTGGGGTGGGGGCAGGTAGTGTCACAGACAGAGAAGCCATAGCAAGCTTCTTCGATTTACTTTCCACCACTTGGATAGGCTTTCTACTACTGCCTTTTAAAAATTGGAAAGCTAAGGCACAGTAATTTTTAGAAGCTTTCTCAGGGACCCTTAGCAAACAGCAGGGCCAGGTTTAAATGTGGTCTTCAACTGAAAAGCAGTGGTCTTCACCACCATGCCGCATATTGACCCCATCGTTAGCTTTTTGCAGGTGCACCAGCAGGCCAGCTCACTGGAGTAACCAAGTCAGATGCAGTGTCAAAGCCCAGGCTGCAATTGGGAATGAAAGGCAGTTCCCCCACACTGGGCTGAGACTGCCCGTGACAATGGTGGCCTTGAGGGCTTCTGCCTATGCTTCGGGATATTTCAGGTGGCAGAAGCACCCCTGCACACACAGCCATGCTGCTTCACTAAACCTACCCTGTAAGGTGGTCAGGGTGCTCAGGGGCCCAGATGAGCCAGGTTTGGCAACAGAGAGAAATGTCTTGAGATTTGTCACGTACTAATTACATGCAAGGCATTGTTCTAAACTCTTTTTATATACTAGCCTATTTCAATCTCTTAAGAACCCTATGGGGTCAGCGTTCTTAATGTCTCCATTCTGTAGAAGAAGAAAGGAAACGGGGGCACGCAGAGGGGCTCTGCAGCCTGCCATAAATGGTGGCATCTGACTGCCCTGGCATATCTCGGACTGGCCAAGAGAAGCTTGTCCACTCATGGGTTCCTTGTTACCTCCACCAGAAACCAGTTTCGGTGGGCATCAGGACAACATATATGCATGTGCTTATATACCTACCAACCTCTTTAACTCTCACCGCCTTGTGAGGTAGTTTCTATTACCTTCATTTTACAGAAAAGAAAACTGAGGCTATGAGTGTAAATTACTTGCCTACATTCTCTACAAATCCACCCCTTTGCACTGCAACCCAGATGGCACATATAAAGGGGGTGTGGGTAGAAGGATGCTCAACATTATTATTTTCCCTCATTTCACACTTCCTCATCTGGAAAAACACAGAAATTATAGGTGATTGTAAAGATCCCAAAATTGCAAAATTTAGGATGGGGGGAGCATGATTATAATCTAGAGCAGAGATCAGTGAACTATAGACCATGGGCTAAATCTGCCTATTTTGGTACTGCCCTTGAGCCAAGAATGTTTTTTGTTTGTTTGTTTGTTTTACAGTCTAGAGGTCTTTTATTTTTTTTTAACACCTATGATGCCATGAATTCGTAGGGAAGAGGTTCCAGCAGCTCAGCCTCCTTCCCACTGGCTCTCATAAAGTGTGCTACTCTGGGTGGAGCAGGCTGGCGCTTCAGTTGAACCCAGGCACCTTTCTCTTTGTCTTCTTTCTTTTTCTGATCGTTTTTCTTCAAGCGTTTCAGGAAGCTAGCTCGGCTCTTAGAGTGCTTAATGTGCTCAATACACACATTAATTCTCTTGGCAAGAATCTTGCCCTTAACTTGTTTGTTTACAACAATGCCAACGGCATGCTGGGGAACACTGCAGACTCTTCCCATTTAGCCATGGTAACACTTGGGGGTGTTCCTTTTTGAACAGTACCCATTCCCTTGATGCCTGCAATGTCACCTTTCTTATAGATTCACATATACGTGGCCAAAGGAACAACTCCATGTTTTCTAAAAGGCTTAGAGAACATACATTGGGTGCCTCTCCTCTTTTCCTTTGTGTTCGTCATCTTGGCAAATTAATTTTTATGTGATGAATTAAATCCTCTTTCTTGTCAACCAAATTTTCCGTGATAGTGTATCTCATACAGTGTCTGTTTAACTGGAAGATGGTAGTTCTGGCCAAAAGGCTGGGTTGACATTTTTTTTTTTTTTTTTTTGGAGATGGAGTTTCACTCTTGTCCTCCAGGCTGGAGTGCAATGGCGCGTTCTCAGCTCACTGCATCCTCCGACTCTTGGGTTCAAGAGATTCTCCTGCCTCAGCCTCCCAAGTAGCTAGGATTACAGGTGCCTGCCACCACGCCCAGCTAATTTTTTTGTATTTTTAGTGGAGATGGGTGTCAGGCCTCTGAGCCCAAGCCAAGCCATCACATCCCCTGTGACTTGCACGTATATGCCCAGATGGCCTGAAGTAACTGAAGAATCACAAAAGAAGTGAATATGCCTTGCCCCACCTTTAACTGATGACATTCCACCACAAAAGAAGTGTAAATGGCCAGTCCTTGCCTTAACTGATGACATTCCACCACAAAAGTGTAAATGGCCGGTCCTTGCCTTGAGTGATGACATTACCTTGTGAAAGTCCTTTTCCTGGCTCGTCCTGGCTCAAAAAGCTCCCCCACTGAGCACCTTGCGACCCCCACTCCTGCCCGCCAGAGAACAAACCCCCTTTGACTGTAATTTTCCTTTACCTACCCAAATCTTATAAAACGGCCCCACCCCATCTCCCTTTGCTGACTCTCTTTTCAGACTCAGCCCGCCTGCACCCAGGTGAAATAAACAGCCATGTTGCTCACACAAAGCCTGTTTGGTGGTCTCTTCACACGGACGTGCATGAAAACGGGGTTTCACCATGTTGTCCAGGCTGGTCTCGAACTCCTGACCTCAGGTGATCTGCCTGCCTTGGCCTCCCAAAGTGCTGGAATTACAGGCGTGAGCCACCACGCCCTGCCACATTTTCAAATGATTGAAAAAATATCAAAAGAAACAACTTCGTGACATGAAGAGTTGTAGGAAATTCAGATTTCAGGATCCATAAAGAAGGTTTTATTAGGACACAGCCATGCATTGTTATGGCTATTTTCGCACCTCAACAGCAGGGTTGAGTTGTTGCAACAGAGACCTAGTGAATGGCCCACAGCTTTAAATACCTACTACACAGCCCTGTGCAGAAGAAACACTGATGCCTGAAGTAGAATCACATGGCAAACATATTTGCCTCACGTTATCTGAGGAAACAGTTTGGTCGTAATCGTGAGTTTCCTAGATAATTGAAGCCTTCCCTTTTGTGCACAGAATAGTTAATTAAAAAAACAAAAATCTATTCAAGGAGGCTGGAATTCAGGATCCAGAGGAAGAAGCATTTGAGAGTGGAATGGAAAGACTTAGGGGGAGGTAGGAGGAATGGGTTGGGGAGTTCCAGGATGAAAGAGGGCTTTTCAATAGGACAGAGACAGAAAGAGATTTGGGGAGAGAGAGAGACACACACATAGAAAGAAGAACCAGGATTCAGAGATCATTGCAATCAGAAAAGAGGAAAAAGTGTTGTAAGCAGGAGCTCAGAAGCACTCAAGAAGCCGGATACAGTGGCTCAAGCCTGTAATCCCATCACTTTAGGAGGCCGAGGCTGGAGGATCACTTGAGGCCAAGAGTTCAAGACCAGCCTGGGCAAAATAGCTAGACTCCATGTCTAAAAATAATAACAATAATAATAATAATAATAAAATTAGCCAAGTGCCTGTAGTCTCAGCTACAGGAGGCTGAAGTGGAAGAATCTCTTGAGCTCAGGAGTTCAAGGCTGCAGTGAGCTATGCTCTCACCGTTGCACTCCAGCCTGGGTGATAGAGCGAGATCTCATCTTTAAAAAATTAAATGAAAATGAAAAATAGAAAAGAAGCACTCAGGAGGCTGGTGAGAATTGGGCGTGTGTGACTTTGGCCTAGCAACTTTACCTCCCTGAGGCTTTCTTGCACATCAAATGGAGAGAAATCACACCTCGCCCAAGGGGGCTGCTGTGCAGTGTGAGGGGGGAGGTGACAGCCATGTAGGGCAGGGGGTGGGCTCTGCACTCAGACGCCTCCCGCGGCTCCTGGAGTTGCCTCCTCTCATCCCAGGCAAGTGACTACATTCCCTACCTTCGGGAGCTCAGCCACAAAGTGAGCAGAGTGGGATCTGTCACCCTGGGAAATTGGCAAGATGCTACCTCCTTCCTGATAGGTCACCGAGCAGTCTGCCCAGAGCCCCAGGAGCAGAAGTGCTCATGGGCCAAGTTAAGGGGCTCGAATTCCATGGTTCCATGGTTTGTTGAATGCGTTTATTTTTTATTTTATTTTATTTTTTTGAGATAGAATTTCACTCTTTTTGCCCAGGCTGGAGTGCAATGGCATGATCTCGGCTCCCTGAAACCTTCGCCTCCTGGGTTCAAGTGATTCTCCTACCACAGCCTCCCGAGTAGCTGGGATTACAGGCGTCTGCCACCATGCCCAGTTAATTTTTGCATTTTTAGTAGAGACGGAGTTTCACCATGTTGGCCAGGCTGGTCTTGAACTCCTGTCCTCTGGTGATCCACCTGCCTCAGCCTCCCAAAGTGCTGGAATTACAGGCGTGAGCTGCTGCACCCGGCCTATTGAATCCATTTAAAGCAAACGCCAGGTCATTGTTTTTGAACTTCGTGGTGGTAGGAGGTGCACCTTAAAATCAGCGCTTTGCATAACACTTATTCCTTGATTTAACCCACCACCACCATGACCACCCCTCACTGATTCACCCAAAAGTGGGTTTATTTGTTGTCTTTTCTCTAACTTCTGTAGTTGATTGACCTCATTCAAGAAATATCTGTTGGGTACCTCTGCTCTGCACTGCTATTTTCAGTGGTAAAGAGTAGATGAAACTGGCCAGGCGCATTGGCTCACGCCTGTAATCCCAGCACTTTGGGAGGCCAAGGTAGGTGGATCACTTGAGGTCAGGAGTTCGAGACCAGCCTAGCCAACGTAGTGAAACCCCGTGTCTAATAAAAACACAAAAATTAGCTGGACACATCTATAATCCCAGCTACTCTGGAGTCTGAGGCAGGAGAATCGCTTGAATCCAGGAGGCGAAGGTTGCAGTGAGCCGAGATTGAGCCACTGCACTCCAGCCCCTGGGCAACAGAGTGAGTGAGACTCTGTCTAAAAGTAAAAAAAAAAAAAAAAGAGTTGATGAAGTCCCTGTCTTCATGGAGCTTACATTCTTTTTTTTTTTTTTTTTTTTTGAGACGGAGTCTCGCTGTCGCCCAGGCTGGAGTGTAGTGGCATGATCTCGGCTCACTGCAAGCTCTGCCTCCTGGGTTCATGCCATTCTCCTGCCTCAGCCTCCCGCGTAGGTGGGACTAGAGGCACGCGCCACCTCGCCTGGCCAATTTTTTGTATTTTTAGTAGAGACGGGGTTTCATCGTGTTAGCCAGGATGGTCTCAATCTCCTGACCTCGTGATCCGCCTGCCTTGGCCTCCCAAAGTACTGGGATTACAGGCGTGAGCCACTGCGCCCGGCCCGGAGCTTATATTCTTGTGGAGGAGAGAACATGGAAAAGGATAAGCATACAAAAATGAAGTTAACTTAGATCCATTTTGTTGTTGTTGTTGTTAAGATCATCACTTTTGAGCACTTGTTTAAGGCAGATATCTGGATTAACCACATTGAGGAACTGGGAGGAGGCGGAGAACTGGAAACTGTGTTAAGTAGGGGTTGACTAAACCCTGCTTCTGGTATGAGAAAGTTAAGCTTATCTTCAGAATGGATGCTGAGGCAACATCAAACTATAGGAATTCACCACACTGCATAATTTTGTTTTAATATGAATTTCTCTGATCTCTAGTGTGAGAAGAGTGTGTTTCTATATGTTCATTGGCCATTAGTTTTTTCTGCTTTGTGATTGTCATGTACTCTGCCTGCTTTTCTCTTTGGTTATTTACCTTTTCTTATTAATTTATAGGCTACCTCTTCACAAGAGGAATATTAACCTCTAGTCTTACAAAACTGTTGTCCCAATCTATTATTTCTGTATTCTGTGCTATTAAAAACAATGACTCAATGAAAAAACCCACTATATTAAATAAATATATTTCAGAAATGCATTTTTAAATAGAATGTGCAGAATATATGTATAACATGTCTATTAATCCATTTCTATTTGTTTCACTAAATGTTTGTATTCTGCTTATATTCAAAGAAAGCTAGGTTGGCCTGTTTTCTTCACAGCTTTCAAGTCCTTTCATAGACATTAACTTGTTTGATCTCTATAAGTACTAGAGATATTGATCTAGTAAAGTAATAAAATGGGGCCAGGCATGGTAGCTCATGCCTATAATCCCAGCACTTTGTGAGGCTGAGGCGGGTGGATCACTTGAGGTCAGGAGCTTGAGACCAGCCTGGCCTACAGAGTGAAATCCCGTCTCTACTAAAAATACAAAAATCAGCTGGCTGTGGTGGCTGGCACCTGTAATCCCAGCTACTCGGGAGGTTGAGGCAAGAGAATGGCTTGAACCCGGAAGGCGGAGGTTGCAGTGAGCTGAGATCGTGCCACTGCGCTCCAGCCTGGGCCACAGAGCGAGACTCCATCTCAAAAAACAAACAAAAAAAAAAAAAAAAAAAAAACAAGTAATAAAATGGGCATGGAGCTGTATAAATGCCGGTATCCTTACACCAAATGATCTCACACAGCTCTGCGTTTGTAGTTGAACTTACTTCACCTACTGCTGTCGGCAGGGGACCTGAGCCTGCCAGTTTTGTTTCCCTGTTCTAATTTGTGACTTTGCATCTGCTTAGCTATAAGAACATTTTATGATCGTGTCTAAACTAAGATTTAACAGGCTAAGCCTCAGAGGGATTTAAAGGATGTAAGCTTTGATGCTTAAACCAAAGAAGACAAAACTGGCATCCTGAGGGCCAAATGCCATCCTTAGGGGTAAGTTTGAGAGTTTTTCTGATAAAATTCAGGTTTCTCACTTCTCTGAATACACTGGAAAAGCTGGCAGCCCTGGGCTCATGATCCCCTGTGGCATTAATTGCCAGGGGTCAGGGGGGTGGGGAGGGATGCAGGCTCTCTCATTCCCAGCAGCCCCCACCCAATCCTCCTCAATGTCTGCTGCCCTCTGTGAACTCACCGGCCCTGCTCGTCTGACCCTTCACCAGCTTCCCGCACTGTGCCTTACCTGCCTGTAGGCATTTGAGTGCCTGAATCCGTCCTACAATGTGTGATGATTATTTTGGTTGCTTGGAGATCTGTTTTTGCTTAATTCCTGCATCTCGCTTGTGGCCAAAGAGTTTGAGGTTGCCAGCCAGGCACAACTAAAGCCTTAGACACAGATGAAGATGGAGTGGTCTTGGTGGAGATGAGAGGACTCATCAAAAAGCATTGCCTTAAAAAAAAAAAAGATTCAATAGCCACTCATTCTGCAGAGGGTGATGAAGAACGGCAAGGATTTGAGAGTAGGTCCGACTCGGGTTCCAGTCCTGCCCCTCCCCTGACCGGCATCTGCCTCAGCCTTTGTAAACTCACCTGCAGTGGAAGCAGAGCTCGTGGAAGATTAATGAGAACTAACTCATTGTGAGGGAAGAGAAATCCCAGCACTGCTCAGAGGGCCCCGCAGGCAGCCCAGCCCTGGTTTTCATGTTGAGTTGAGATGATGATGTGTTGTTAGCCATAGTCCTTGTGCTGTCTTCTTGTTTGTGACCGTAAAAGTTATCCTGGGGCAGAGAGAGGTGGGACTGATACAGAATGACCACTTAACAATTTTCAGTCTGTTGAGCCAACTAGAGTGGGCAGAGCAGAAATAATGCCCTGGTTGGAAGTTAATAGCTTTGCCTGCCCAATTATTTACTGGAAGGAAATGCCTGTTCAATATACCATTTGATATATTCAAAGATACCAAACAAAACAAACCTACTGCTAGGGCCAGCCACTCAGAAGGCATCACATGCTAGTCTCAGTCTGTTCATCTAAACCACTGTAAATAAGTCAGGACAAATGATGTACATGGTTTTGGGGTTTTGTTTTATGTATGTATTTATTTATTTTTTATTTTTTATTTTTTGAGATGGAGTTTTGCTCTTGTTGCCCAGGCTGGAGTGCAATGGCGTGATCTGGGCTCACTGCAACCTCTGCCTCCTAGGTTCAAGTGATTCTCCTGCCTCATCCTCCCTCGTAGCTGGGATTACAGGCATGCACCACCCCACCTGGCTAATTTTGTATTTTTAGTAGAGACAGGGTTTCTCCATGATGGTCAGGCTGGTCTCGAACTCCCAACCTCAGGTGATCTGCCCTCCTTGGCCTCCCAAAATGCTGGGATTACCGGCATGAACCACTGCACCCGGCCTCATTTATTTATTTTTGGATACTGCTGTTTTGAACTATAAATCATGCTGCCACTCCCATCTGCAGACTGCTTTGGCTACATCATGTTGAAAGATTTCTTGAGTTTGTTTTGCATTGGCACTTATCAGAGCTCCTTATTGTAGGATCAAGGCTTGAGGCAAAGAGAAGGGAAAAAACCGACTGAACCTGCAATAGAAGACCTTTGCCTCTCTTTTCTCACTCCAACTTTCCCCTTCTGTTCTCCACAAGACCTGCCAAGGACAAATTTTACAGAAAAGGGTGTGGTTCTAGTAAGAATGAAGAGACATGAAGGCATCAAAATGGGTTATTGGATTGTTCCCTTCATACAGTCACATTTCTAGAGTGTGTGTGAATATACATAATAAAATAGTAATATATATATATACACACACTTATATGTATATATAAATATATTTATGTGTATATATGTATATATCATATGTATTATATGTATATATTTAAAAATACACATGTAATATATATTTTAAATATGCATACAAAAATATATCTCTTAAAGTACATATAAAAAACATTTATAAATGCATATATGATATATTCATATATGTATGTGTATAAAATATTTTATATAAAATATATTTTTATATAATATATAAAATTTATTATATATATAATTATATATATTTAAATATATAAAATATATATAATATATACTATATATTAAATATATAAATATATATAATATTACTATATATTTAATATATAGTAATATTAAATATAATATATACTATATAATATATAGTAATATTAAATATAATATATACTATAATTTAATATTTATTATATACTATAATAAATAGTATAATATTTATTATATACTATAATTTAATATTTATTATATAATATATATAATAAATATAATATATACTATAATATATACTATAATATATAATATAATACATCATATATTATATTATACATCATATATTATATATCATGTATAATATATATCATATATATTTAAATATATATAAACTATATATAAAATATTTATATATTTATATAAATATATATATTTTTTTTCCCATGGGCTAAAGGGGAGGCAGTGATGGGGAAGAAAAGAGTGGAATTTAACCTCCGGGAATAAAGCATTTGAAAACCTTAAGGTAAATGCTTTTTTTTTCCATTACTAAGAACAGAAATCAAAATATCAGTTCATTATGAGGGTCAGAAGTGTTGGATATTTTCCAAAAGAGAAACAACAACAACAACAATCATAGCTAATGCTTATGGAACATCTACCAGGTGCCCGGATTCTTGCCAAACCCTCAACAAGAGGTATCTCATTTAGTCTTGACAACCATTTGAAATAAGAGCCACTGTTCTTTATCTTTTCACAGTGGGAGGACCTGGTTGTGTAAAGAGGTTAAGTAACTTTACCCAGGCACTGTGAGCAGCTGGGATTTAGCCAAACAGACTGGCTTCAGCACCTGGACCAGGGAGCTGTGGAATTAAGGCTCTGGTTTCTATCCAGCTGAATGACATTGGGGAGAATATTTTTAAAGGCCTCAATGTGCTCATCTGTAAAAATAACGGGGTTGTGATGGGTGATCTCAAAGATCCCCGCCAACTCTCTAGCAGCTCACCAAATTAATATCCAAATCAATATCCATCGCATCCACGGCACTGTTGCCATTCATTCCTACAGTTCACTGTAGGAAGTTAAGGGGTGGAGTGGAGCAGAGAGGGGGCAGGGAAATGGCTGCATTGTGAATCAAATGTTTTCCTAACAGGAGCAGCTGTTCCAACTGGCACAAGCCCCGGCAGGTACGATTGCTAGGTGACTACAGGAGTGAGATGGGAGCAGGGCCCACTCTTAACATGCCTCGTGTGGCTGCCACAGTTGATCCTTTAGTTGACCAGTTAATTTCTCCCTTGGAAGTGTCCTTACCGTCCGCATCAATCCCCAGTGCACTTCACATTGGCTGCGAGATCGCTTGCAGCACTGCAAGCAGGTGAACTCTGAGAACCCTCTGTAATGCGACCAGACCTGTGCTTTTCCTGGTTCCCCTGAATTACACTGGCTGATACTTCCAGGAATTCTGCAGCAGCCCTGGTGGTTTTGTTCTTTCTTCAGAAAAGGAAGTTGGAGAGGGGGTTGGGTGGGAAGGAGAATGAGAATCCTTTAAGTTCTTTGAAATGACCTCAAATCTGAGGTTGTCAGGCTTTTAAAGAGAGCCAGTAGGTAGTCACTCCACATATTGTAGATAATACTGTGTCAACAGCTCAAGTTATCTGAAGCTCTCTTTGTGAAATGGGACCCAACTTTTGCTCTCTGGGAACACTATCACATTTCTCTCTGGCATGCAAACTTAGGTGTGTTTGATGAAGGGAGCCTGCCTCTCCACTCCTGTGGGTATTTCTTGCAAGGTGGAGATGAGAGACTGAGAAAAGAAATAAGACACAGAGACAAAGTACAGAGGAAGAAAAGTGGGCCCTGGGGGACCGGCGCTTAGTAAGTGAGGACCAACACCGGTGCTCACTTACTCTGAGTCTCTGAGTTCTCTCAGTATTTATTGATCACTATTTTTCCTATCTTGGCGAGGGGAATGTGGTGGGGCTATAGGGTGAAGGTGGGGAGAGGGTCAGCAGAAAAACATGTGAGTAAAGGAATCTGTGTCATAAATAAGTTTAAGGAAAAGTGCTGGGCCTAAATGTACACGTAGGCTAGATTTATATTTAACTTTACATAAACATCTCAGTGCAGTAAAGAGTAGTATTGCTGCCATGATGTCTCACCTGTATCCATAAGGCGATTTTCTCTTAGAGTAGAATGTATGGTTGGTTTTACATTTGTCATTCCATTCCCAGGGACGTGCGGGAGACAGACGCCTTCCTCTTATCTCAACCGCATTGAGGCCTTCTTCTTTCACTAATCCTCCTCAGCACAGACCCTTTACGGATGTCGGGCTGGGGGGCTGTAAGGTCTTTCCCTTCCCACGAGGCCGTATCTCAGGTTGTCTCAGTGGGGGGAAACCTGGACAATACCCAGGCTTTCTTGGGCAGGGGTTCCTGCGGCCTTCCGCAGTGCATTGTGTCTCTAGTTAATAGAGAATGGAGAATGGCGATGACTTTTACAAAGCATACTGCCTGCAAACACATTTTTACCAAGGCACATCCTGCACAGCCCTAGATCCATTAAACCTTGATTCAATACAGCACATGTTTTTGTGAGCACAAGGTTGGGACAAAAGTTACAGATTAACAGCATCTCAAAGCAGAACAAAATGGAGTTTCTTATGTCTTCTGTTTTCTACATAGACACAGTAACAATCTGATCTCTCTTTCTTTTCCCCACATTTACTTCATCATATGATATCAACACTGACTCTTTCATGTAAAATGTCAGTCCTAGGTTCCTTCCACCCTTGTGTCCTGCCTGTGCCCCCAAGGGTGTAATTCTTTGTTCCCTCTTCCCATAGTCAGTGTGTGTGTGTGTGTGTGTGTGTGTGTGTGTGTGTGTGTGTGTGTGCGCGCTATATTCTGACACATCATTAGAATCTAAATTAATCTACCTTGTTATATTTTTCTGCCACTGATAATCTTCTACTTAGTCATGTTACAAATGTATTTTTTAAAGTAAGTGTTTGAAGAGACAGGGTCTCACTGTCGCCCAGGCTGGAGTGCAGTGCTGCCATCATAGCTCACTGCAGCCTTGATCTCCTTGGCTCAAGCAATCCTCCCGCCTCAACCTCCTGAGTAGCTGAGACTACACGTGCGTGCCACCATGCCTGGCACACATTCATTTTTCATTATCTGTGTCTGTATGTGCCCAGAGGTACAGATAACACTAAAATGAAAAGAGGTGGCAGAGAACAGGAAGAGAAAGAAACCAGAGGAGCCGATATCCTTAAATGCTGTGGCTCCTAAGGACTGCCAGCAGGTTGTGGGGCTAGCCAGAAAAAACAGAGCCTCTGATTCTAGAAGGCTTGGAGAAAGCGTGAGAAGGGAGATCAGATCAGAATAGATTGATGGAAGGGAAAGGCGGTGAGGGTGAAGCAAGAGAAACTCGGCTCCAGTGAAAAGGACCCATCATTGCATTCCAGAACGTAATTTGCATTTCATATGTAAATGAGGAGGCTTCCTAGAGGCTGGACTGGGCTGGGCTTAGCTGAGCCTTTGCAAACAGCAGGGATTCAACCCTGGGGAACTGCAGACCAAAGTGAGAGAGGGACGCACCGCATCTCCAGGCACATCCAAAAAGGATGGACGAGACACCGAAGCAGAGGATACAGGAGGATTAAAGGATTCAGGAAAGCAAGCAGCCCTCCGGAGAAGCTGTCGAAATTCAAGACTGGCAAGAGAAGCAAATTCAACCTCTCACACCGATCATTTCTCATTCCCTGAAAAGAAGAGATTGTTTCCCCAGGGAAGTGAAAATAATGAACTTTTGGAGGTACTGCTTTTTTGCTTTCACTCTGCTCAGCGTGGTCATTTTTGTGAGATTTTACAGTAGCCAATTGAGCCCGCCAAAAAGTTATGAGAAGCTGAACAGTTCCAGTGAAAGGTATTTTAGGAAAACTGCCTGTAATCACGCCTTAGAGAAAATGCCAGTCTTTTTGTGGGAAAATATATTACCATCACCTTTGCGAAGTGTCCCTTGCAAGGATTACCTGACCCAGAATCACTACATCACAAGTCCCCTGTCGGAAGAAGAGGCTGCATTCCCTTTGGCCTATGTCATGGTCATCCATAAGGACTTTGACACCTTTGAAAGGCTCTTTAGGGCTATCTATATGCCCCAAAATGTCTACTGTGTTCACGTGGATGAGAAAGCCCCAGCTGAGTATAAGGAATCTGTGAGGCAGTTACTGAGTTGCTTCCAAAATGCTTTCATTGCTTCAAAGACAGAGTCTGTGGTTTATGCAGGCATTTCCAGACTCCAGGCTGACCTGAACTGTCTGAAAGACCTTGTCGCCTCTGAGGTTCCCTGGAAGTACGTCATCAACACCTGTGGACAAGACTTCCCCCTGAAAACCAACCGGGAGATAGTTCAGCATCTGAAAGGATTTAAAGGGAAAAATATCACCCCAGGGGTGCTGCCTCCTGACCATGCAATTAAGCGAACTAAATATGTCCACCAAGAGCATACAGATAAAGGTGGCTTTTTTGTGAAAAATACTAATATTTTGAAAACTTCACCTCCACATCAGCTGACCATCTACTTTGGCACTGCCTATGTGGCGCTTACCAGAGAGTTTGTCGACTTTGTTCTACGTGACCAAAGGGCCATTGATCTACTACAATGGTCAAAAGATACCTATAGTCCTGATGAGCATTTCTGGGTGACACTTAATAGGGTTTCAGGTAGGTACTAATTTCCATTCTGATTGATAGATTGAGTTTGCTAACATTCTGCTCGCCTAGAGAACTGACTCATTTGAAATTATTATGAAATAAATTTAAATACTTAGAAAACTATTAGTTTGGTTGCTTGTAGCAACAGTGTATTGCTGACTGTTGTCTTATCAATATGTGTGATATAGTGATCTAAGAAATGCTGGCTGCAGTCGCCCCAGCAAAACTAACTTTGATTACATAGTTGCTGAATTTTAACTGTTGTTTGAATTAATACTTTTCGTAGTCCTTGATAAACACAGCTGTAACAAACAAAATTGACTTTTAAAATAAGCATTCTAGAATTTAGGAGTTGAAATAGGTGATGTTTCTTTCGGACGGATGTTAGACATCGCTTTCATTGATGCAGTCTCATTGCTCAAAGTTCATGGAGCTGTTACAGGGGTACTTACTGGTTTTAGAATCTTGGAAGCTGCTTCGGATATTCACAAATCACCATTCTGGCTGAAACATCTCTGGTTTAAGATCTGAACAAGTAGCCAGGTCTCAGCTCTTCTTGTTTCTACAAATCTAACCTGATATTTTAGCCTGGAGGAGTGGGTAACAAAGAGTTGGAACATACGGAGAGAGAATCTAGCTACAGATGATCCAAAGAGAATTCTCAATTTTTAAGTCATAGGTTTTTATTGGACATTCCAATTTGCAGCTTCTTGTTTTTATATACTGTGCAGTCTTTGGTTGTTTATGATAATTTGGGAAAGCGTCCAAGGTATGCCAGGCAGCTGAGGCAGAAGATAGCACCAAGCTCCCTCGTTGGTTCAGGACTGGGTTTCTTTTCTAAACTCTGTTTCCCATAGGTGGTCTGTGACCTGCGTTACGTCTTTCCTGTGTGTCCCCACGTGCTTGTTTTCAACAGTGACCCAGCATGGTTGTGGGTGACTGGTGGTTCTCATGAGCACAGTGACCCCGACAAGCCTCACATACTTCCTGTCTACACACACACACTGCACAACCACACCACACATACATACACACCTGCCTGCCATTCTTGAAATAACTCCCAGCTCTTATGTCTAGTGTCATTATCATTGGCATACTTTCAAGTGCTGTTTGAAGCCACCTCTTGCCTGAAAGTAGACTCAATGCAGAAAGGTCCCCAATAACACGGCATTCCTAAGAGCTAAACTAGAGTGGTGGTCACAAAAATCTACTTAGAGAGGGACAGAAAGAGGATGGGCAAGGTGGCTGGAGACGAGAGAATTATGCTGTCTCATGCGCAATTTATTTTCAGAGATGCTAAACTGTCAGGTCACAAAGACTTGTAGGAGGGGTGGTGAACCAACATTTATCACAGTGGTGAGAGCGTTAACCCTTTCTTTACAATCACCTATTTTAAACGCATGTAAATACTGCATGCGTGGCATTTAATCTTATTTTTGTTGGTATAGTTGGTGATAGCCTACATCGTTCCTTTTAATGATAGGAAGTCATCGTGTTAGCCTCACGTACAGATGAAAAACATGAGGCTTAGAGAGACTGAAGCAATAGTATGTTCACGTTGTTCACATAGCTTTTCATAGGCAAAGCTGGAATCTGACCCTGCATTTGTGTGGCCTGAAGTGTGAGCCGTTTCTCTTGCACTAGGAAAAGAAGGAATGAGCATTTCTTTTTTCCTGTATATCTAAAGCAAATTTCCTGCAGAATCCCGAAAAAGGGAAAGGATTGAGGGTGTTTGGAAAAAATGAGGAGGGCTGTGGAAGGAAGTTTCACCTGATCACTTAGAGCTGGAGATGAGGTTAGCAGGGATATGGTGTGTGTGTGTGTGGTGTCCCAATATGCTTGTGTGGTGTGTGTGTGGTGTGTTTGTAGTGTGTGTGTGATGTGTGTGTGTGTGTGTGTGTGTGGTGTATGTGTGTTTGCAGTGTATGTGTGTGGTGTGTGTGTGGTGTGTATGTGTATGTGTGTGGGGTATGTGTGTTTGTAGCGTGTGTGTTGTGTGGTGTGTGTGTAGTGTGTGGTGTGTTTGTAGTGCGGTGTGTGTGTTTGTAGTGTGTGTGGTGTGTGTGTATGTATGGTGTGGTTGTGTGGTGTGGGTGTGTGTGTGGTGTGTATATGTGGTGTATGTGCGTGGTATGTGTATGGTGTGTGTGTGGTGTGTGTGTAGTGTGTGGCGTGTTTGTAGTGTGGTGTGTGTGTAGTGTGTGTGTGGTGTGTGTGTATGTGTGGTGTGGTTATGTGGTGTGGGTGTGTGTGCGTGTGGTGTGTGTGTGGTGTATGTGCGTCATGTGTGTATGGTGTGTGTGGTGTGTGTGTTTGCAGTGTATGTATCTGGTGTGTGTGTGGTGTGTATGTACATGTGTGGGGTGTGTGTGTTTCTAGTGTGTGTGGTGTGTAGTGTGTGGTGTGTTTGTAGTGTGGTGTGTTTGTAGTGTGTGTGTAGTGTGTGGTGTGTTTCTAGTGTGTGTTTGTAGTGTGGTGTGTGTTTGTAGTGTGTGGTGTGGGTGTATGTGTGGTGTGGGTGTGTGCGTGTCTGTGTAGACAGCAACTATGTGAGGCTTGTCAGGGTCACTGTGCTCATGAGAGTCACCAGGTGTCCTTTCTGGAAAGGATCCACCATCCCTCAAAGGCTTCTGTGCTGTCTCCGGGGTCCATCTGGAGCAGGCTTTGGTCTGGGCCAGTGGCAATGGGAAGTGGCCCTTGGTTCATGTTCTCAGAGAAGCTGGGGAGTAAGAAGCAACCAGGCAGATTTGAAAGGTCCCAAATTTTTAAAGTTTTCACTCCATCAGCTACCAATGTTAATACTTCCTTGTACATCTTTCCAGAGGTACTTTATTATGTTTATAGGTAATAAAACTGATTAAACGTGGAGAACATTACATATGGACTTTAAGTTCACTACAGATATACTCAGAAAAGGAAAAATGGTCCTTATTTTAGGTGCCATATTGTCTGTGAGAAACAAAATACAGCAAAATGTGTCTTTTATTTAAATACATCATATGCAGACATTTAAGAAGCTCTTTTTTCATTACTTTGTAGTATTTTTAAAGCTAGGTACAAGGAATTTTCTGGACCAAAGTTACCAGGGACCTTTGCCCCACAGCATCCAACCGCGATGAAGTGCAGAACTCTTGCTGATAGAACACCTACTATTCCCTTGCTCCAGGCTTTATAATGGCTTCTCCTGATCTTAAGGGACCCTTAAGGCTTGGCCGGGCAAGGTGGCTCCCACCCATAATTCCAATACTTTGGGAGGCCAAGGCAGGAGGATTGCTTGAGGTCAGGAGTTTCAGTCCAGCCTGGGCAACATAGTGAGATCCCTGTCTCTACAAAAAATTTAAAAATTAGCTGGGCATAGTGGTGCATGCCTGTAGTCCCAGTTACTCAGGAGGCTGAGGAAGGAGGATTGCTTAAGCCTGAAAAATCAAGGCTGCAGTGAGCATGACTGCACCACTGCACTCCAGCCTGGGTGACAGAGTGAGACTCTGTCTCAAAAAAAAAAAAAAAATGCTAGGCTTAAGCTCTTCATGTGGCATGACTTCCAGGACCTGGCCCCCCACACCCTCTGTCTCTACCCTCATTTCTCTTTATTTGATGCCTCATACTTTATGTTCCAGCAACTACTTGGCCCCACACTTCTGCAATTTTCACCTATTTTTTTTTTTTTGAGATGGAGTCTTGCTCTGTCGCCAGGCTGAAGTGCAGTGGCGCGATCTCAGCTCACTGCAACCTCCGCCTCTCAGGTTCAAGCGATTCTCCTGCCTCAGCCTCCCGAGTACATGGGATTACAGGTGCCCACCACCAAGCCCGGCTAATTTTTGTATTTTTAGTAGAGACATGGTTTCACCATGTTGACCAAGATGGTCTCGATCTCCTGACCTCATGATCTGCCCGCCTCGGCCTCCCAAAGTGCTGGGATTACAGGCATGAGCCACCGCGCCCGGCCTAATTTTGACCTATCTTTTTATGGCTTTTTAATGACATCCTCTCATAAAGAATGTCCTTCGTGTTTGATGCCCTTCCTGTCTAACTCTTCATCCTTTATGTCTAACTCTGTCTAACTCTTCATCCTATATGGCCCACCTTGGAAGTCACTTCCTCTGGATGCCATGTCTGATCACCTTCCTCCCAGATCGTGTTTCAACTCTGGGTTCTCCTGGACCTAATGCCACTGCTGCCAGCATTGAATTGTAGTCACCTATTAACTGAATAGCTCTTCTACCAGACCTCCTCAGTATTTGAGCTCCTTAAGCATAAGAAAAGTGACATCTGTCTTTGTGTTCTCCACCACTACTCCTACGCTGCATGCATCACTATGCACCTGCCTGATCTGATGATATGCAGGGTGCTAGATGGATGTGGAAGGGTCGGGAGGGGCAGGAATGTGCTGGAGAGTTCTGAGAAGATGGGCAGAACCTATGAAAGTGTACCCTGTACCTAGGATGGGGGATAATTTTTGGTAGTAGGGATTGGAGAAACAGTAGGTAAAACTCCACAATGGCCAGGCCAACAAATGATATCAGTAAATATGAGAGAGTCCTGAAAGAATTAGCGAGCCCCACTTTATTCCAGATAAAATGTTAATGGGATAGAGTCTTTCCTTAGAAAATGTGGCTCCCACACAGCCAACCTGGGCCCATGATGCAGTCGGATTCTGATGCCAAGAGAAAGTCACAGCAGGCGGCGTATGCAGACGCCTCCACTTAGTTTCTGCCTTCCTTGCACCTGGTGTGAGTTTCTTCCACACCTGCCACCCACTCCCTCCTCCTGCTAGTACCACTCCCGGGCTACTCACATTCATGCACTGGGCTTCTTCTCACTTAATTTAATGTAGACTTCTCCTGAATTGTTGGCTTAGGAAAAAAACCAAGACTATAAGAATATGAGAGGCTAAGAAGAGACAACAATAGAAAGAAACTCAAAACGTCTCTCCAGCTCTCAACAACTGTAAACACTGAGCTATTTAGAAGGTATATGTTCTCTGCAGGAAGGTCACTGGGACCTTACGTCTGGGTGTGGCTGAATCAGTCCCAGTCTTTTTCAAAGTATGCATTGTGTTCTCTCTACATCAGCCCAGACTTTGAATTCAGTTTCTAGGACCACAAAGGATTCATTCACTCATGCTGATTGGACCCGTGACTGAGAATTAATTACAAACGTTGAATGATGGGGTAGAATCATGTCTTAACAAACGTCACCAGGACGTTCGAGTCTAAAATAACGCTACTTGGGGGGGCTGGAGGACAATCCACACTGACATTTGTCTTGTCAATATGGAGATAAATTCTGGCTGAAGGAGAAATTCCACAAAACAGATACTTCCATAGGTTCGTATCCATTGAACAGACTCTTAAAATAATATTTTTGGATAGCCAGATGATATTAAGTATGCATAATAAATGAGAACATGATTTTCAAAATATTGCGTTAGTGATGTGGACCAGTCTGGCTTATTTAACCTCTTCAGTAAAGGGCTCTAGGCTCTTCCCAGGTCAGTAATTCAGGTAGGATCACAGGGGAAGATTTTAATTTACAATGTATCCCAGCTCTTGTGAGCACCTAGATTGATGGGTCTACATCATAAGATGCTGGGCTCCTGGTAGAGAAACCTTAGGCAGGTTATAAAGTATTTACACAGTAAATTATGCTGACGCTATAGCCATTTGTAGAATCATTTGTGACGTTTCCAGCCACTGGCTCCATTGTACTATTTGGGAAGGATCATCTCCTTCATTGGAGAATCTGTACCCTAACATTTCTGTTCGCCACCCCTAAAAAGGAAATAATTGGGAAACGCTACTCTTAATGAGCTCTTTTATTTTTATTTGTTTGTTTGTTTGTTTGTTTATTTATTTGAGACAGAGTACCACTCTGTCGCCAGGATGGAGTGCAGTGGTGTGGTCTCGGCTCACACAACCTCTGCCTCCCAGGTTCAAGCAATTCTCCTGCCTCAGCCTCCCAAGTAGCTGGGACTACAGGTGTGTGCCACCATGCCCAGCTAATTTTTTCATATTTTTAGTAGAGATGGGGTTTCACCATGTTGGCCAAGGTGGTCTCGATCTCTTGACCTCGTGATCCACCCACCTCAGGGTCCCAAAGTGTTGGGATTACAGGCGTGAGCCACCACGCCCAGCCTTAATTAGCTGTTAATTCCTAATCTCTAGAACAACATTTTATAAAACAAGACAAATTGGATTAAAGTATATATTAGTATAAAGTATATATAAAGTGAATATTGAATTAAGTATAAGTACAATCATGATTGGTAAACATCTACTAAGCTGAACTGAACATGAATTTAATTCTAGCGGAAAGGATGAGCATTCTTTCTACTGCTTTAGAACCGGCAAGATCATTTCTCCAACTCATTCATCCTCCTGTCATTCCTTATCGATTGTATAAGACAGTTTTTTCTAGAAGCAGGAGTTGTTTTTGTCTTTGTTTTGTTTTGAGATAGGGTCTCCCTCTGTCACCTAGACTGGAGTGCAGTGGCATTAATTTAGCTCACTGCAGCCTCAGCCTTCTGGGCTCAAGTAATCCTCCTGCCTCAGGCTGCCAAGTAGCAAGGACTACAGGTATGCACCACTACACCTGGCTCATTTTTAAATTTTGTGTAGAGATGGGATCTCGATATGTTGCCCAGGCTGGTCTCAAACTCCAGGGCTCAATTGATTCTCTCCTCAGCCTCCTACAAGTGCTGAGATTACAGGTGTGAGCCATTGCACCTAGACAGTTGTCTTTGTTTTAAATGAAGTATTGCATTTTGATGGCTTCTAAAAACAATAAAATATTAGTGGTATATCAAAGCTATATATAATTGATATATGTATATATCAATGTCCATAGTACAATGATCAATATATACTCGACGTCTAAATTATCTCTTGAAAATACATATCTCTTCCCTATTTCTCTTTACACAATACAAAAGCATCTCCTTCCATCCTCCTTTGTTTGAGCCCACATGCTATCAGGTAAACGACTTTGGAGACAGACGTAGTGTAAGTCTGTCCTCCCAATACTTGCCAACTGTGTGACACTGGTGTTAGTTTACACTGAGCCTTAGTTTACTCATCTGTGATGATGGAGATAATAAATAGTACTTAGTTCCCAGAGAAGTTGTGAGTATTAAATAAGCTAATGCATATAGTACAGGGGTTCCTAGACTTGGCCATGCCTCAGAACCTTCTGCAGGTCCTGTTAAAGCACAGATTTCTGGGCCCTACCCCGAAGTTTCTGATTCAGCAGGTCTGGAGCAGTCCCCAGAATTTGCATTTCTAACAGTTTCCTGGGTTATCCTGCAGCTTCTCATCTGGGGGCCACACTTTGAGAACTGCTGACACGGACCATCTTTTACAGAGACTGGCACATGTATAGATTTGCAGCAAATGCCGATTCTGTTCATTTCCAACCACCAGTAAAAATAAAAACTAGTTGATATAAGGAAAAGCTTTATGGTGTTGATTGCATATGGCAGACTTCATGAAAGTGGTATGCAAATAACTGATATTTGGGATGTACTCATATTAAGGATATATTATGGGCTCTGGAGTGAGACAAATGCAATATTGAATTTTAGCTTTATCTCCGTTAGTTTGATGACCTTGTGTACTCTGACCTAAAACTCTTCATTTTGTAGTCACAATAATGATGGCTACTTAGTAAGGCTGTTTTGAGAATTAAATTTTAAAAATGGGGTAAAATGACAGGTTAGGTGTTTATCCACTTATTAATGTGAACATTTATTAAGAAAAACCTACATGTGGTCTTGTGTTCCTACACTAATGAGATCCTCAAGGTGTTGAATAAAAGCAATTTAAATCTCACTATAGAAGGATGTCTATGCCATGGCTCACCAACCATATAAAACTAGATGTAGATGTACCCAAAGATGGATAGGAGGAAATGTGTAAAGTAAATTGACATGTTCAGGTGGATACCAGTTCCTTTTTTTTTTGAGATAAGGTCCCTGCTCTGTTCCCCAGGCTGGAGTGCAGTGGTGTGATCACGGCTCACTGTAGCCTCGACTTCCCAGGCTCAAGCAATTCTCCCACCTCAGCCTCCCCAGTAGCTAGAACTATAAGCCTGCCTCACCATGCCCTGCTAATTTTTAATTTCTTGTCGAGTCGGGGTTTTACTATGTTGCCCAGACTGGGATATCTGTTCTTGATCATTTTGATTTCCATTAGTGTTATTGATGTACTTTTTATGACCACCAAAAAGCTTCACTTACCCCTTACATAACACTATGAAATGTGTATTATCCATTAGAAGAGTGTTTCCTTAAAAACATGAAGGATGTCAATGCTATCTATTTTTGAAATCAGTCATATCACAGGAAAGGAGCAGGAATTGTGTTGCTTTATTTTCTTTCTTTTTTTTTAATTTTTTGAGACGGAGTCTTGCTCTGTCCCCAGGCTGGAGTGCAGTGGCGCGATCTTGGCTCACTGCAAGCTCTACCTCCTGGGTTCACGCCATTCTCCTGCCTCAGCCTCCCAAGTAGCTGGGACTATAGGTGCCCGCCACCACACCCAGCTAATTTTTTGTATTTTTAGTAGAGATGGGGTTTCATCGTGTTGGCCAGGATGGTCTCGATCTCCTGACCTCGTGATCTGCCCATCTCGGCCTCCCAAAGTGCTGGGATTACAGGCGTGCCACTCTGCCCGGCCGGTTGGTTGGGTTGCTTTCTTTTCTTAAGCCGTACCATGTTCCAGAAAGGACTTAAGATGTCATAATATAATTTCTTGGGAAAGGAAATCAACATAGCCAAGATCTGAAAAAAAATGAGAGCCTTTTCACAATTATTCTATGTAGGTTTTGACTGGCTTGGCCACATCTTCCCATTTTGAGTGTTTGGCTTCCTCAGTGTTAAAACAAATTTTGCCCATCCTCTTTGCAGAGGAGTAATTTTTAAACTCTAATAGAAAAACTTATAAACACACACAACAGTGCAGAGAACAGTACTGTAATCCTCACATGCCCATCAGCCAGTTTCGACAATCATCAACTTGTTATGCAAACTCAAAGCAAAAAAACCGAAAATGTATGACAAATCTTTGAGTTGACACTATAATTCTCATAAATAAGTAGCTTCCTCTTTTCAAAGAAAATGCAAAATTCTGATATTCCAGACTAAGGCTTTCTCCTCATCCCATAATAACAGTTCACTGAAAAGTAAAAATATTTTTATCCAACTTCACCTTTTAGGCTATACTACATGAACCGGACTGAGTTTTCTTTTTCTTTGTTTTTCAGCAACAAAGCTGAATCTACAAGCACAAGCTCTTTAGGCATTCAAAGTAGGAGGCAGAATGCGGTTTGTTAAGATTTCCATTCAGCTGGGTGCAGTGACTCACACCTGTAATCCTAGCACTTTGGGAGGCCTAGGCGGGTGGATCACTAGGTCAGGCATTCAAGACCAGCCTGGCCAACGTGGTGAAACCCCGTCTCTACTAAAATACAAAAAGTAGCCAGGCGTGGTGGTGCATGCCTGTAATCCCAGCCACTCAGGAGGCTGAGGCAGGAGAATCACTTGAACCCAGGAGGCGGAGGTTGCAGTGAGCTGAGATTGCGCCACTGCACTCCAGGCTGGGCAAGAGAGTGAGACTCCATCTCAAAAAAAAAAAAGATTTCCATTCTCTTGGCCTCCGTTTTTCTGGAGGAAAAATGGGAAGGAGTATGGTACTAAGAGTAGAAGATTGGTTAGTGGGGTACACTGGTATCCCACTGTATGGTTAGTGGGGTACACTGTTTCCTGTGTATCCCTCTAACCATTAAAGTTCCCTTGTTTTCATCTCTTCTCCAGACTGAATATTCTGTTTCCTCTATTAAAAAAAAAAAAGACAATGAGTCCAAAGTATGTTTGAATATAGAATTGACACGATGATATTTTGCCTTCAGCCAAATCTGAATGTATTTTCCATTACTGCGTATTCTCACAGAGGCTTCTCTATGAGATTCATTGTTGTTAATTTTTCACATCTGTAATTTAATTTGAGATGCCTCAGTTATTAAGTTATTAAGCCTCGTTACTTTGCATGAGGTCTTTGATCTTGCAGCGTGATGTGGATGAAAGAATACAAACTTTGGAATAGGACAGATCTTTTGAATCCTAGGCCTCACTACTTAACAGCTTGTCAGTCACTGAACAAGTTATTTAACCAAACTGAGCCTCAGTTAATTTTGGTTTTAGGACATTAAAGAAAGTTTTTAAGGTGTTTGAGAATTTATTAGAAAGTAGGAATTGCCTTTTTTTTTTTTTTTTTTTTGAGACACGATCTTACTCTATCACCCAGGCTGGAGTGCAGTGGCATGATCTCGGCTCACTGCAACCTCTGCCTCCTGGGCTCAAGCAATTCTCGTGCCTCAGCCTTCCGAGTAGCTGGGACTACAGGTGTGCCCTACCATGCCAGGCGAATTTTTTGTATTTTTAGTAGAGACGGTTTTGCCATGTTGCCCAGGCTGGTGTCAAACTCCCGAGCTCAAGCAATCTGCTTGCCTCAGCCCCCCAGAGTGCTGGGATTATAGGTACTAGCCACCACGCCCGGCCAGGAATTGTCTTAATTCAACTTCCACCCCATAAAATATATCTGGAATTGGTCTGGAGACAGTCTTATAGCAGTGACTACGACTTGCTAACATTTCTTTTCAAAGATATTTGTAAAAGGGCTAGAAGAATCTCTGGGTGTCTCCAAGGCTATGAGGGTTTTTGTTGTTGTTGTTGTTTTGCTTTTTTTGTTAGAGATGGGGTCTCACTCTGTTGCCCAGGCTGGTCTTGAACTCCTGGGCTCAAGCAATCCTCTCACCTTGTCCTCCCAGAGTGCTGGGATTATAGGCGTGAGCCACCACGCCTGGCCAGGATGTGAGTGTTGATGACCCCAGAAGACACTAAGGATTGGAACAGTAGCTCATGAACTTTGACTTTTTAAACACTTCACACTGCACAGTTAAAAACAGTAGAATACTAAGCAAATGGAAAGTAAGGATTATGAGCCATGCGTGAATGTTTAATTTTCTTTTTTTAAAAAAGTGCTTTCGAGTACTGTGTAAGAGAGGCTAGTGACTTAGATACCCACACTATACAATTCTGTTCTAAATTTTAACCTTTGTCTGTAGATAACTGTTTGGCCTTGGGCATGTCACTTAACCTCTCTGGGCCTCAGTTTCCTCATGTGTAAAATGAGGAAATTGGGCTAGGTCATCTCCGAAGAGATTCCTGTATTATTTTGCTTTAACTCTGGAGCATGCAGTGAAAAAAGCAGAAGTATTTGAGGCAGGCAGACTTAGGTTTTGTTTCCCTGCTGTCAGATCTTGAGCAATTAACGTATCTTAACATGGGCTTCCGGTGACTTATCTGTAAATTGAGGACAATACCAATTTCATGAGATTGTTGTGAGAGTTACAGACTATGGGGGTATATCTCCCCTCTCAGCCATTGTTAATTCAGTTATCACCTCCATCTCTCCCCCTTCTCCCTCTCCACGGTATATTAATGTCATGACATTCCTATTTATATTACACCGTGGACAGTAGGATTAATGAAACAATGGCCTCTGGGCATTGAATTTCTCTCTTTGTCACGGTCACTGTGTCCACATCTGGATGCCAACCACCACTACTGCTACAATGTAGAACTCAGGCCAGCCACCCTAGGCAGTGTGTGGGGGTGATTTTTGTGCTGTAAAATTCTGACCAAAGGAGGAAACTGAGTACCAAGTACTTACACAATATCTTCACCTCTCTGATTGTTCTTAATGTAGCACATTTCCCCTTGTTTCCAAGAGTATTTTCTCGATGTGCCCAGGGACGCTGAGCTGGACAAGGCTAGTGTAGTGTATTCAGTGCTGGGGAGGGAAGGGGCCCTCTGGAGCCGGATCATTTGGCTTCCAATCCAGCTTTGCAGATTCCTAGTGTGTGTGACGTGAGGCTAATTATGTTCTCTCTCTGATTCTCAGTTTCTGTATATGTAAAATGGAGATACTAACATTACCTACCACTGTGCAAATGAAATGTATGAATACATATCAAGTGCCTGGAATGGCGCATGGTGCCTAGTAAGTGTAAATAAGTGTTGTATTTATTCCACCCAATTGCCCTCGTTAAGGGGAAAATTAGCAATGAACAATTTCCCCTTGTTAAGGTGCTAGAAAAAATGCAGTCCCCCAAAGTGCCATTACAAAGGGTCTGGAAGATTTTCTGAAACTCAGACAAAAGCAGCTTGAATTCCCTCCGTCCCTCAGCTTCCCATAGTACCAGAGCTCATCCTGCACAAGGAATGAGAGGAGCAGAGTAACTAAGAATCTGGCATTGGTGAGTGGGATCGATTGTACCAGGTGCGCTGTTCACAGGCGCGTCAGTCCACGTACTGCAACGCTAGGAAACACAGGGAGCCAACAGCAATCCCAGGCCAGTGTTAACTGACTCTTGAAAAGAGAAAACCTAACAATTCCCAAATAACCTGAATCTTCTCTGTGTCTACCTCAGTAAAATATGTGGTGTTGTTTCCACCAGAATGAGGGAGCACCTGAACCAGACTGAAACCGGGTGTTTCAGTGAGAGGCATCTTGCCCATCTCCCTATCAGCTTCCATCTATTGTATCCCAGCGGAGGTAAGAGCAGGAGACAGTGTGCCGTATGAATTAGACATGAGGCCATGTACCTTCAGAGTCCGCCAGTGGTCCCCAGAGAATTGAGAGCTATGGTAGAATGAAGACGGTAGCTTCCCCTCTCTCCAAGAGTAGGGGGCTCACATCATGGCTTCTTGTAGCTTACGATCTTGGACAGATCTTTTCAATTCTCCACACTGGGTTTTCTCAGCCAAGGAATGATAATAACTGCTAATCTCATGGTGGCAAAGGAGGAGAAGGCACATGCTGTGAGCCATGAATTATGAACTCTTTAATAACTTATAACTCATTAATTCTAAAGCCAAGAGCATCACTCCTGGCACATAGAAAGAGGAAGGTTGTGGTGATGAAGTTTTTTTGAGTGGAAGATATGAAAGAAGCAGAAACTCAGGCTCCTTCAGGAATAACAGAATGATTTTGTGAAGTGGAATGTGTAATCCTGTGCTGGGGTTGGAAGGGATACTCTCATCATTTAAAGTGGAGAAACCAGGCACAGGGAGACGAAATGATTTGTCTGTGTTGCATGATTTAGCAGCTGAACCTGGCCACAAAGATAAGACTTTTAAGTCCTTCAAGACAATAATCTTTCTATATTTAGTGCTTCTTATAATTTCTTTCTGAAATGTCATAGATATCTGAGCAAAGGGGCAGTATGAATATTTTGGTGTCTATACTAATACTGAAATTTGGGTTTCAATGACAGGATTCTTAAAAAGTGTTCAGAATTTATGGGAAAAGAGTGCATATCAATATTACATCAAAGTCTTATAGGTATACTATATAATACAGTTTTTGAAATGTATACATTTACCATAAAGGAGATCCGTTCTGTTTTACATTGTTGTTGATTTTGAAGCAGCTTCTTTGTATTCTTTAATTTATATACATACAGTTCACTCTCTTTAGTGTGCAGTTCCGTGTGTTTTGATAGTGGTATAGAGTCACGCATCCACTACCGCCATCAAGAACAATTCCGCCAGTTCCCAAAATTCCCTCATGCTGCCCCTGGGAGCCAACCCCTACCCCCAGTGTCCCCTTGCCAAATCCTGACCTGTTCTCCATCCCTGCTGCTTGCCTTTTCCGGAAAGTCATATTTTTATCATAGCGTATGTAGCCATTGAGGGCTGAGAAAGCGCTGCTGCTTCTTCTTTCTTTTCTATTAATGAATGCCTTTTGTATGTTACAAGGTGCTCGTGAGGGTCTCTCTTAGATCCTCAGGCAGTTTTATTTTTATTTATTTATTTATTTATTTAGAGACAGCATCTCATTCTGTTGCCCAGGCTGGAGTGCAGTGATGCGATCTTGGCTTATTGCAGTGGTGCAATCTTGGCTTATTGCAGCCTCCACCTCCCAGGCTTAAGCAATCCTCCCACCTCAGCCTCTTGAGTACGTGGGACTACAGGCGCATGCCACCACACCCAGCAAATTTTTTGTATTTTTTGTAGAGATGGGGTTTCGCCATTTTGCCCAGGCTGGTCTTGAACTCCTGGACCCAAGCAATTCACCTGCCTTGGCCTCCCTAAGTGCTGGGATTACAGGCATGAACCACCGCTCCCAGCCCTCTGGTAGTTTTAATATCTATTGAGTATTGGTTCCTTTTGCCCTGCTTTTCTTTTTCCATGTTATTTGTTTTGCCCATAAATAACAGAAGCAGCTGGGCCCGTTATTTTTTTGAAAAAGTAGGGCTATTCTTAGTAATATTATTCATTTGGGGCAATAAACTAAAAGTAAGTACAGCATTTAATTATGTAATTAAACTTGTACTTTTATTACCTTTGATTTTTCAATATCAGTGATTCAGAATGAATAGTAGAAACACCGTGAACTTAATTGGAAGAACAAGAACAACCAAAAGTGTGTCCCACTTTTATTCTGAAAACACATGTGACAGACTCATAAAAGTTGCCATCAATCAATCAGATCATACAAGAGCATCATGGTGAGCATGCCACAACGCCCCAGTATGGTTTCTTATCAGAATTCTTACAGGAAAAACTCTGCTTAGGTTTGCAGATGGCTCAATGGTTTATTTTTTCCTATAAATTGAATATATTAGTCATTGGTCTTGATCTGAAGATGTCCATAATTCTGTTTCTAAAATATTCAAGTATTTAAAAGTAAAGCCCTTGGCCAGGCGCAGTGGCTCACGCCTGTAATCTCAGCACTTTGGAAGGCTGAGGCAGGTGGATCACAAGGTCAGGAATTCAAGACCAGCCTGGCCAAGATGATGAAACCCCCGTCTCTACTAAAAATACAAAAATTAGCCGGGCGTGGTGGCGGGTGCCTGTAGTCCCAGCTACTCAGGAGGCTGAGGCAGGAGAATGGCGTGAACCCGAGAGGCGGAGCTTGCAGTGAGCTGAGATCATGCCACTGCACTCCAGCCTGGGCAACAGAGCGAGACTCCATCTCAAGAAAAAAAAAAAAAAAAACAAAAAAAACACTAAAGCCCTTGATGCCGGAAAACTGGATACTGGAAACTGCCACTGCAGTCCCTAAATCAGCCCTAGGCAGAGGAGAGGGTACGAGGGCAAACCACTGAAGAGGCCAACATTTCTTTGCAGTCTCATTGCTTTATTTTACAAAGTTATTTAAATATTACATTTCTGTCTACTCTATAACTTTTGTAAACTTTTTATTGCAATATAATCCTATATACAGAAAATTGCACATACCAGAATTGAACAGATCACTGAAGTTTTACATTGCTCTTACCTGTATGCACAGCTCAAGAAACCATGTTCCTGGTACTCCTAGGACCCCCTACCCCACAAGGGCTCCTTCCCAGACACGTCCAAGATTAACAGTGGTCCTGACTGCATTAATTATGTGTGTGTTTTTGTGTCGCTGTGTAACTTCTAACGGAAGCCCAGGGCTTTTCATCCAAATGTCCAGGTTAAATGGGTATTTCAGGAAGAAGTGCCAGGCCTAGGTTATTTGTAGAATAAGACTGTAAACAGAACTGCCCTGCTGTTCTTTATAAAACATTAGGCTTGCAATAGATAGGGACTTAGTTCCCAGACTTAGCAATCTATATATACTGTAGTACATGCAGCAACAAATGGAATTTACCATTGACCTTAAACAACTTTTGACCTGTCTCGGTTTGCAAATAGGGGTTAAAATTAAACAAGAGTCGTAAGTGAGCATAATTTCTTACTTGGCTGCTCGTACATGGAATTGGAGGGAAGGTTTTACAAGTTGTGAATGAATTCTGCATTTATATCTAGCTGGGTGCAGCCTGGTGCCTTGTTTTGAAGGTGAAGAAGGCACTGTGTGCAGGGCAAGATGAAAATTTGTCTGGTGGAGTCATTAAGAACTTTTCCCCCGGTTACAAACAAAACAGTTCAGGGCAAACTGTGTTCTATTGATTTCAGACAGAGAGACGACCCTGCTGTGAGAGGCAAATCAATGCTGTACTTTTATTTGAAAGAGTCAGTAAAACCTAGGAAATGCCACCTGAAATGCAAAATACCTAGGTCAAGCTGTGAACAAACACATCTGAATAAATAGATGGCAGAAAAAGCTTATTACTTGATGTTCAAGTGCTGCAAACAACAGAATCTCTCATTTCTGGAATCCAATAAAACTTAAGTCCTAAAGAGGCAGTTTTTGAACTCAAAAACCCATCAAAGTGATAAACGTGTACATGAGTGACGCCTCACCTCATTTAATGTAAGGAAACCTCATACATCTCAATGGTACAGGTCCCTTGTAAAAGGTTGTTTTCAATCTATGTTCAATGTAGGTTAGTCAGCTATTTAATAGTTACGTTATTGTCATAAGCTCACATGGAAGTATTTCTTTGTCTGGAAGATGTTTTATGAAATGGTATTTTCTTCCCTTTTTTTCTGCCATTGGAAGAAAACTTTAATGTTATTCACAGTTGCCCTAGAAACAAGAGGCACTGCGCACCACACAGCGCCACGGTGGGAAGCACCCGTGTCAGTCCAGATGCAGACAGGGGAGGGAAAGACATAAGCCACAGTCTTTTTTTATTTTTTTGAGACAGAGTCTCTCTCTGTTGCCCAGGCTGGAGTGCAGTGGTGCAATCTCAGCTCACTGCAACCTCCGCCTCCTGGGTTCAAGTGATCGTTGTGCCTCAGCCTCCTGAGTAGCTGGGACTGCAGGCGCCTGCCACCACACCTAGCTAATTTTTGTATTTTAGTAGAGACGGGGTTTCACCATGTTGGCCAGGCTGGTCTTGAACTCCTGGTGTCAAGTGATCCACCTGCCTCAGCTTCCCAAAGTGCTGGGATTACAGGTGTGAGCCACTGTGCCTGACAGTCTTTTTTTTTTTTTTTTTTTTTTAATAATGCTATCTTAAGGTTTTTGTTTGCTTGTTTGTTTTTTGGTTTGTTGTTTGTTTGTTTGTTTGTTTGTTTTGAGATGGAGTCTTGCTCTATCACCAGGCTGGAGTGCAGTGGTGCAATCTTGGCTCACTGCAACCTCCGCCGCCCCGGTTCAAACGATTCTCTTGCCTCAGCCTCCCATGTAGCTGGGATTACAGGCGCACGCCACCACGCCCGGCTAATTTTTTTGTATTTTAGTAGAGATGAGGTTTCACAATGTTGGCCAGCATGGTCTCGATCTCCTGACCTCATGTGATCCGCCCGCTTCGGCCTCCCAAAGTGCTGGGATTACAGACGTGAGCCACCGCGCCCAGCCTATGCTTTCTTAATGATTGTTACTTGTAGGTATTAGATTTCATAATGTGTTTTTTTATTTGATCTTTGTTTTTTGTACTTTAATGTATTATTTGAAATTATTCTAATAACCACTGTCCTATTTGGCAGAAGTTACAGAATAATAGTTTTAAGAGAAAATAAGTAAAGACTCACAAGGTAAATATGCCAAAATGCTAACACTAGCTAATTTGAGGGAGTTGGAAAATAAACAATTGGCTACTTCTTTGAACTTTTCTGTACTTTGAAAATCTCCAAGACTTAAAGAAAGTTGCTGTATTTGGTGAAAAATAAACTCTCTCCTTACTGAGACATAATACTTGGTGCTTTAGTGCTATAGATAATACTATGAAGTATTATCTCTGGGCCAGGTGTGCTGGCTCACGCTTGTAATTCCAGCACTTTGAGAGGCCAAGGCAGGTGGGTGTCTCAAACCCAGGAGTTTGAGACCAGCCTGGGCAACATGGTGAAACCCCATTTCTACGAAAAATACAAAAATTAGCCAGGCACGGTGGCACATCCAGCTAGTCCCAGCTACTTGGGAGGCTGAGGTGGGATCACTTGAGTCTGGGGAGGTTGAGGCTGTGGTGACCTGTGATTGCACCACTGCAGTTCAGCCTGGGTGACAGAGTGAGACCTTGTCTCAAAAAAAAGAAAAAGAAAAAGAAAGAAAAATGTATTATCTTTATAAAAAAGATGTTCAATAAAAGACTTCTATGAAGAACAGGTATTCCTAGCCCAGGCAACATAGCAAGACCCTGTCTCTATAAAAAAATTTAAAAATTAGCTGGGCATGGTGGTGCATACCTGTGGTCCCAGCTACTTGGGATGCTGAGGTGGGAGGATCACTTGAGCTTAGGAGGTGAAGGCTGCAGTGATCCATGATTGCGCCATGTGCTCCAGCCTGGGAGACAGAGTGAGATCCTATCTCTTTAAAACAAAAAACAAAAAACAGGTGTTCTCAACCTTAACCACATATTGCTTTCATGTAGGAATTTTTTTTTTTTTTTTTTTTTTTTTGAGACAGAGTCTCACTCTGCCACCCAGGCTGGAGTGCAGTGGCAAAATCTTGGCTCACTGCAACCTCTGCCTCCCAGGCTCAAGCCATCCCCCTACCTCAGCCTCTCAAGTAGCTGGGACGCACAGTACCACGCCTGGCTTTTTTTTTTTTTTCTTTGTAGAGACAGAATTTCATCATGTTGCCCAGGCTGGTCTTGAACTCCTGGGCTCAGGCGATTCATCTGCCTTGGCCTCCCAAAGTGCTGGGATTACAAGCGTGAGCCACTGCACCTGACCATCTAGGATATTTTAAAAAAATACCAATGTCTGGGCCCCACCTCCACCCAGGTATTCAAAATGCCTGGGAGATGGGGCCCTGTCATTGGTACTTTTAAAAAGTTCCATAGATGATTCTAAAATGGCAGCCACAGTGAGGAAACGCTGGTACACATGAAAGCTAGCGTCAGGGATAAAAACCGAAGAATGGAATTTACTAGTTTGTTGACTTGGCCCTCATTTATTCCCTACCATTTGCACCTGCTATCTACTTTGTAAAAGAAAAAAAAATCAGTTAAGATTTTCCTGGGAAAAAAAGAACTTCCTAAACTTGGTGGCTTGAAAAAAGTTTTTTTGTGATTCTTTGAGTTCTTCTGATCAAGGCCAGCTCCACTAGGGCTAGATGGTCTCGGATGGTATCACTCACCTGACCTGGCGTTCTCCCCAATGATCTCTCCTTCTCTGATGGGCTTGCCTCAGCTGCTTCACTTGATGGCCTCAAGGAGAGGACAAGCCCTGGTCAACAAATGTTTTTTAAGTCTTTGGCCAGGTGCGGTGGCTCACGCCTGTAATCCTAGCACTTTGGGAGGCCAAGGCAAGCAGATCACCTGAGGTCAGGAGTTTGAGACCAGCCTGGCCAACTTGGCGAAACCCTGTCTCTACTAAAAATACAAAAATTAGCCGGGTGTGGTGGTGCATGCCTGTAATCCCGACTACTCGGGAGGCTGAGGCAGGAGAATCGCTTGAACCCAGGAGGCAGAGGTTGCAGTGAGCCAAGATCACGCTATTGCACTCCAGCCTGGGTGACAGAGTGAGGCTCCTTCTTGTCAGGTTTGCTAATGTCCCATTGGCCAAAAGCAAGTCACATGGCCAAAACTAGATCCAAGAGGTAGAGAAACATTTTCCCCCTCTTAATGGAAAAGCTGCAAAGTCATACTGAACAATGACTGCATATAGCAGTGAGACAGACACATTTGTGACCATCTTTTGCAGCCTGCCACAACAAATCAAAATATATCCTTGTTTAGCAGAAACATATGATAAAGCAAGATATTTATTGGGATCTCTTTTAAAAATGAGTTTTTTCTAGTTAATTTTGAGAATGTACCTTTAACTTCCATTAAAGAAATTTAATGGAAATTTCCATTAAAGAAATTTAATGGAAATTTCCATTAAAGAAATTTAATAGTGGTTGAGAAATTTTTAAAATCGCCACCTGCCCAGCAGTGGTCATAAAAGTAACATTTTAAAAATAAAATGCAGAAAACGATAAAGACTAAAATAAAAATCATCACTAAACTCAATACTCAGAGATAATAGTTCAGTATATGTTTTTTATATAAAAGCATAGTTTTACATGTCTTTACTGGTTTTTATAACCAGCTCTCCTCATGTATTAGTCCATTCCCATTGCAATAAAGAAATACCTGAGACTAGGTAATTTATTTATTATTTATTTTTATTATTTATTTTTTTGAGACAGAGTCTCACTCTGTCACCCAGGCTGGAGTGCAATGGCGTGACCTCGGCTCACTGCAACCACCGCCTTCCGGGTTCAAGCGATTCTCCTGCCTCAGCCTCCCAAATAGCTGGGATTACAGGGGTGCACCACCACACCCAGCTAATTTTTTGTATTTTTAGTAGAGACGGGGTTTCACCATGTTGGCCGGGCTGGTTTTGAACTCTTGACCTCAGGTGATCTGCCGAGACTGGGTATTTTATAAAGAGAAGAGGCTTAATTGCCTCACAGTTCCACAGGCTGTACAGCAAGCAAAATCCTGGCATCTGCTCAGCATCTGGGGAATCCTCAGGAAACTTTCAAACATTGTGGAAGGCAAAAAGGGAGCAAGCATCTCACATGGCTGGAGCAGGAGGAAGAGCAGAACGGGGAGATGCCACACACTTTTAAACAGCCAGATCTCACGAGAATTCTATCACGAGACAGCGCTAGGAGGACGGTGCTAAACCACTGGAAAACGCCCCCACGATCCAATCACCTCCCACCCAGACCCCAGCTCCAACGCTGAGGATTACAATTCAACATGAGATTTGCGCAGGGACACAGATCCAGACCATTTCACCTCACCTAACAGTATGTCATGGCTTTCCATGTCATGAAGAGTTTGTCACCATAATTTTTAATAGCTCTGTAGAGTGCTATCATTTGAATGCAATATAATTTATTTAGAAAAGCCCTAACTTACAGACATTTGGGGGGTCTTATTGGTAATCAGTTGTTTTGTTAATAAAATTGATAATTAATGATGATAGATACTTTAACAGCACTATGTACCGAGCGCCATTCAGAGGGTTTTAAGTATATTATGTACTTCACAATAAGTTCACATGGTAAACATGCTGCTTTTACTCTAATTTTGAGATAGGGAAACTGAGGAACAGAGAGATTAGATAACCTGTCAGTGGTCTCACAGTTAGTAATTGACAGAGCAGGCACTTGAATCCTGCTTAGGTTCGAGAACTTGCTTAGGTTTCAGAATCTCTCCTCTGCCTCAAATAATAATTTATAAATAACTTCCTTGAGACAGATTCCAATAGATTGAAATGCTGAGTCAAATGGTATGCACTTTTTTTTTTTTTTTTTTTTTGAGATGGAGTTTCACTCTTGTTGCCCAGGCTGGAGTGCAGTGGCACGATCTCGGCTCACTGCAATCTCTGCCTCCCGGGTTCAAGTGATTCTCCTGCCTCAGTCTCCTGAGTAGCTGGGATTACAGGCATGCGCCACTACGCCTGGCTAATTTTGTATTTTTAGTAGAGACGGGGTTTCTCCATGTTGGTCAGGCTGGTCTCAAACTCCCGACCTCAGGTGATCCACCTTGCCTCAGCCTCACAAAGTGCTGGGATTACAGGCGTGAGCCACCACGCCTGGCGATATGCACATTTTTAAGGCTTTTAATCCAGAATGTCATATTGCTCTTCCAAAAATTGTACCAATTTATACTCCCACTTGCGGGTTTGAGGGCTCCATTTCACTCTACCTTTTCCACTATGGGGCATTATTATTTTCTAAATCTTTGCGAGCTTGATAAGTATAAAAAGAGGAATTACTAGGTGCAGTGGTACATGTCTGTAATCCTAGCCACTCAGGAGGGTGACATGGGATGATCCCTTGAAACCAGGAGTTCAAATCCAGCCTGCGCAATAGAGCAGAGACATTGTCTCTAATAAACAAACACAAAAAGAGAGGCTACCTTAGGGTTTTAACTTTAGTAACTTAGTTCCTAACAAGGTTGAGCATGTTTTCTTATGTTAGACATTTGCATAAGCCAAGGTGCAAAGAGCTGTGTGAAAATGGAAGACCAATTCAGGAATTCCCAGATGTGTGGCAGGACATTTGGGTGTGTGTGGACATTGTTGAAAGATGAGGCCTGGAACCCAGTGTTGCAAACTACATGTCAACAGGGCCAGACAATGTAGGTGAATGAAACACGTTGGGGCCAGGGTGGCCAGAGAGCTCCTGGATGCCTAAAACCCCGGTGAATTGTTGTCAAGGGACAATAGGAATTCAGACTTCCATAGAAAATCTGGTTTTTCCATGTTGGCTCAATTCCACCCTACTGCAGGGGTCAAACCAAACAGGCCTACCAATCAAATGTGGTTTATGGGCTCCCAGTCTGCTGTTTGTAGTCTGGAGGTGTCTTAGTTTATTTTCTGCTGTGTAACAGAATCCCTGAGACTGGGTAATTTATAAGAAAAGAGGTTTATCTGGCTCCTGATTCTGGAGGCTGGGAAGCTCAAGAGCACAGCAGTGGCATCTGGTGAAGGCGTTCATGCTGCATCATCTCATGGCATAAAGTGGAAGGGCAAGAGAGCACATAAGAGTGAGAACCAAGAGAGGGTCAAGCTTGCTTTTACAATAAATCCACTCCTGTGATAATGAGCCCAATCCTGCAATTATGAACCCATACTCAAAATAATGACATTAGTCCATTCATGATGTCAGAGCCCTCATGACCTGGTCAGTTCTTAAGGTCCCACCTCTCAAAACTGTTGCACTGGGGATCAAGTTTCCAACACATGAATTTTGGGGGACACATTCAAACCATAGCAGAGGGCAAGATTGTAAAAGCTCTTATGTGTTGTGGTCAGCATTTTGGGATCTTCCTGGCCGGAATGTGATCTATAGAACTGAAGTGATGGGTCTGGCCAGGGTTATAATTCTGAGGAGCTGGCTGGGGCAGTCTGCTTGGTTAGTGACAGTATGAAGCAAAGGAAAGAAATGACAGTTCAGAATCTAGCTCTTGAGGGAGGAGATAAGCATGAAGCTGGGTCCAGGGGAACAAATGTAGAAATGTAAAATGAGAAATGAAGTGAGGAGTTGGAATTCTGGTAAGGGTGGTAAGAGGCGGCAGAAGAGGTCTAGGATGAGACCAAGTCTGAGTTTGCTTGTTTGTTGGAGGGTGAGTGGTGGTGGGGCATCTCAAGCTGGCTTGAAAAATCAGACACAGGGTCAACCATTCAAATAGAAGGGTGACAGGATCAGTGCTGATTATAGGAAGAGCCATCTGGTGGTATTGACTGCATCTGGTGGAAATACTGCAGACAGAGAGACCCACTGGCAGGCAATTACAGTCTTCTTGATGAGAGATGTTGAGCACCTGAGTGAGGACTGTGGCATCAAAGGAAAGCAAAAGGTATGTGTTTGAGCAATGCTATTATCAACCAGCTTGGAGAACTGCTGGTAGATTGGAAATCCATTGGCGACTCCTGTACTGTGCAAAATTTCAACAGTCGTAGCTGGAAGGGAATAACTAGTGCATTAGGTTAATCGTGAAGGTGAAAGATTTTGAAGTATGGCAGGGTTTAGTGGAGCAAAGAAGGGAACATTCTCAGGCTACATGTCTGGGAATATGGAAGCTGAAGGCCTTCACCACCTCAGGAAAATCTGCTATAATTAGAAGAGTGTTTGACAAGAGCTAAAAATTATAAACAGCAGAGATGCATAGGCAGGCGGCCAATGGACCATGTCAGCATTGTAATGAAATCTGAACTGCTCTGAGCCAAGGATTGCCTATGTTTCTCAACTTTTTACTGACATTGCCTAGTCTTCACCAGAAGACTGTCCAAGAATGACTCTGGCTTGAAGGCATTTAGGCTGCTACTGAAGATATTAATAAATATAAATTCTCTAGATACATTAAGCTGAAAACCCCAAGAATATCCCATTCATGGCTTTACCTCCACCATCTACTCTGGAATGTTGGAGGCATGCAAGAAAGTATTTGAATAAGTGAGTAAATTATCTGGAAACAAAATCAACAAGTTCTTTAGCACATCTGCACTCCTAAACTAGAGCCTAGAAAATTCACTTAAATTTTCTAGGCTGTAGTTCACATAGCTTGGTAACGAGGGGGAGGCATTAGGAAATTTTTGAAATCCATTCAATTCTAAAATTCAGGGGTTTTCCTCCTTTCTTCATTTCATCTTTTCCTTTTAAACTAAGGAGTGAATTTGTTGGCAGTTATGCGAGATGAGTGCAGAGATGTCATATTAAGAATGCTATACCACTGTCTCAGGGACTACAAAACTAGAAACATCCACATCAAACAAAACAGGGTCTCTTTTAGTAAGTTTCTCGTGTTAAAAATCCTAAATAGGCCAAATGTGATGGCTCATGCCTGTAATCCCAGCACTTTGGGAGGCCAAGGTGGGAGGATTGCTTGAGTCCAGGAGTTTGACAGCCTGGGCAACATAGTGAGAGGAGAGCCATGTCTATTTGAAAAAAAAAAAAAATCCTAAGTGATCAATTGATCACTTGAACTGGTTCAATTGATCAATTGAACCAGTACTGGGTGGAAACAAATATATACTTTTAATTTCTTTCTTTCTTTTTTTTTTTTTTTGAGACGGAGTCTCGCTCTATTGGCAGGCTGGAGTGCAGTGACGCGATCTCAGCTCACTGAAACCTCCGCCTCCCGGATTCAAGCAATTCTCCTGCCTCAGGCTCCCAAGTAGCTGGGACTACAGGTGTGCGCCACCACGCCCGGCTAATTTTTGTATTTTTAGTAGAGACGGGGTTTCACCATGTTGGCCAGGATGGTCTCGATCTCTTGATCTCGTGGTCTGCCCGCCTCGGCCTCCCAAAGTGCTGGGATTACAGGCGTGAGCCACCATGCCCGGCCTATGTACTTTGAATTTCCAAAAATGACCCAAATTAGCAATCAGAATAAGAGGCTACAAGTTATTTAACACTACAATTCCCTGCCATTTGGTAATTTTCCATTTTTTTTGTTGTTAAAGTTAATTGAATTATTAGAATTAGTCACAAGCACAATTACTAAATTAATGAAGCAAATAAAGCTTAGATGTATATCAATAAACTTTTGTAAAAAATATAAAAGCAATACAACATTAAAGAAAGTTTTATAAGTAAGGAAAACACTGGTATTTCCTCCACTCACATTTCACATGCAAATATTTGTGCATGGTTTATTAATAGTATACAATTTCATATTCTGGTGTTTTTGTGGGGTTTTTTTTTTGTTTGCTTGTTTTTTTGATTCAGAGCCTCACTCTGTTGCCCAGGCTGAAGTGCAGTGGTGCAATCTCGGCTCACTGCAACCTCTGCCTCCTGGGTTGGAGCAATTCTCCTGCCTCAGCCTCCCAAGGAGCTGGGATTACAGGTGTGTGCCACCACGCCCGGCTAATTTTTGTATTTTTAGTAGAGACAGGCTTTCACCATGTTGGCCAGGCTGGTCTTGAACTCCTGACCTCAGGTAATCCACTCCTCTCAGCCTCCCAGAGTGCTGAGATTACAGGCGTGAGCCACCGCGCCCGGCCTTTGTTTTTGTTTTAACTTTAGATCAATCATTCTTAACCAGGGGTGATTTTGCACCTGAGGGGACATTTGGCAATGTCTGGAGAGATTTTGGTCTGTCACATCTGTGGTTGGGGACCTGCTACTGGCATCTAGTGGGAAGAGACTGGGAACACTGCTAAACATCCTAAACGACATAGGTCAGCCCCCACGACAAAGAATTACCTGGTCCAAATGTCGATAATGCTGAGGTTGAGAAAACTGCTTTAGATTATAGTAAAAAAAGCGGTCTTTTCCACAGAAACATTATCCCCATGATTTTATTAAAGGGATTATATTTTCAACCATGTATTTAGTGGTTATGTATGCCAGGCATTGCAAAGCACTGTACACAGATTTTTCTCATTTAGCCCTCCCAAAACCCTGTGAGGTTTTAAAGACGAGTACACCATGTCTTAAAGAGATTCAATAGTTGTTCAGAGTCATACAGTTAGTGGTAGCAATGCTTGTCTCTCCGACTTCAAAGCTGGTGCTGTCAGTTATCGTGTGTAATGTCATAATGAACATCTTCATATACGGATTTCTGCATTTTAAAAGTCCCTTCCGTAGCTTATTTTGAAGATATTAAAGGGTCAAAGGGAATTGGCAGTTATGGTGGCTTTTCCTACATGTTTCTAAATTGATTTTCTACAGCTGAACCAATTTCAGCACTACCATTGAATTGTGAGAAAGCCCTTTCAATATATTCTCATCAGCATTGACTATTTAACATTTAAAAACAAAATTCCTTGTTTTCTTAAGAAATTAAAAAGTATATATGTGAGCTTAAATAATAAGCAATTTCTGGAACTTGTTACCACAGATAGTTCTCCCAAAATGAGGACCAAACTGTGTAAGAATAATGAGAACGTCAAGTCAATATAAATAAAGCTTGCATTTCAAAGAATCATGTTTAACAAACGCAGTTATTTGACTAAGAAAGGCTGAGCCCCAAGAAAAACATTCCTGGTTACTCTGTAAACTTTGCCTCAAATGCTCTGTTTATATAAGCCTATGAAGAGCAAATGAGAGAATTGGATTTTATAGTTTAAAATGTTTTCTCAGATAATATTGACTTTTTTTTTTGCCCTGTCCTAGAAATAATGAAAAATAGGCCTTTGCTAGGATTCTTGTGAATGAAGGGTACGGTCCTACCCATACTCCCCATAACTACCCTCCCAGAGTCCTGACAAAGAATAGTGATAGTGATCCTAACAGCAAATATAATAATAATAGAATCGAGTCCAGTATTTTTCCAATACTAGTTGTGTCCCATTAGAGGATACAGAAATCACTTTAGTAGTTTTTGATCAGAATTTTTAAGATGAAACTAGACCAGAAAACAACATAAAATTAACAAGTGCATCGCATGTAATAAGCACAAGTATTGTTTTATGAAACTTGTTTGCTTTATATACGTGTGTGTGTGTGATGGTATACAGTGTTTTTTCTGTGGGTTGCAGTCTAAAAGGTTGAAAAGCCACTGATCAGATTTACCTACTTCATTTGAGAGGTGAGGTTTGGAGACGTTGGATGATGTCCAGGGATACCCAGCTGGTTAGTGGCAAAGCTGGAATGAGAACGGAAGTTCCCTAATCCCTAGGCCAGTGTCTACTCCATCAGGGTGCTCAGCCTGGGATCAGTCTCTGGCAGCAGGCAGGAAACAGGCTTAATAGAGAGGCTTTTAGGGAGTAGAGAAGGAGCAACTGGACATTGGCAAGAGTGATGGGACTGGTAGCTTTGGGATCTCCATGTATCTTTCAGCCCAAGCCAAATTAAATTACTTACTGAACAGTGAGCACATTGTACATTCAGGGTCTTCAATCTTAAGCTTGCCATTATCTCCTCAAAATAATAACCAAGTGATGCTTACTAGGTATTCAAATTGAGCTGTCACCAGAAGTCTTGTTGAATATTTTCTCACTTCCCTAAGCAAGTTGAACCAAGCAGGACAGATATGGAGAATGGATGATTGCTGATCACCCAGGTCATTATTGAAGGGCAAATTGAAATGGGTTGGTGCTTGCTAAGAAGGTAGAAGAGGCCGGGCACAGTGGCTCACGGCTGTAATCCCAGCATTTTGGGAGGCCAGGGCGAGTGGAGCACTTGAGTTCAGCTCAAGACCAGCATGGCCAACATGGTGAAACCCTATCTCTACTAAAAATACAAAAAATTAGCTGGACGTTAGTGGCACGCCCCTCTAGTCCCAGCTACTTGGAAGGCTGAAGCAGGAGAATCACTTGAAGCTGGGAAGCGGAGGTTGCAGTGAGCTGAGATTATGCCACTGGACTCCAGCCTGGGCAACAGAGCAAGACTCTGTCTCAAAAAAAAAAAAAAAAAAAAGAGAAAAAGAAGAAAGGTAGAAGAAATGCTTTTTGGTACTGAGAAGTAGAGATTATTACACCTTAAGTTGCCATGTCCTATTGGGAAATCAAGACAGCATCCAGGCCCGTCTGATCCTCACAAAACCTAAACGGTCCTCCCCATCAGCACTAAAGACTGACTGAGTCAATGGGGCCACCCTTGCATTGGGAATGGACGCGCGTTCATTCCTTTAACATTGGTTGAGAGTCTCCTGGTGGCCAAGTGCTATGAAGTCAAAGGCACTGTGAGAACTGGTCCTCTGCTCAGTGCAGCTTTTTCCTATAACAGGTGGGCTGATGCCTTCAAGGAGGTGATGTGAGAGATCCGTTAAAATGCATATATTCCTAGCAGTGGGAACAAGTTAGTTACAATTAACCCAAGGATATAGGGACCAGATTCACTCACAAGAGAAGATTTTGAGTGAGAATAGTTAGTAAGAGACTAACCTACAAACCTGATGAAGACTGAGGGAGAGAGGTCAAGGAGGGGAGGAAAAAAGGACAGTGCTGTTGCTCCCCAGGACAAGCTGCATCCTCCTCCCAGTGTTGCTTACAGCTGAGAGCTACTCACACTTGATCACACACAAGAATCTTCTGGGGATTTTGTGAAGATGCTGACGTTGGATGTTGATACAAGAGGCCTGGCGTGGGTCTCAATTTCTTTTTTGAGACAGGATCTCACTGTGTTACCCAGGCTAAAGTGCAGTGGCCTGATTTTGGCTCACTGCAGCCTTGACCTCCCATGCTCAGATGATCCTTCCACCTCAGTCTCCCGAACACCTGGGGCCCCAGGCGCACATCACAACACCCAGCTAATTTTTGTATTTTCATAGAGATGGGATTTCTGTATGTTGCCCAGGCTGGTCTGAAACTCCTGGATTCAAGAGATCTACCTGCCTGTTACAGGAAAGGGATCCCGATCCAGACCCCAAGAGAGGGTTCTTGGATCTTGCAAAAGAATGAATTCAGGGTGAGTCTTCAGTGCAAAGTGAAAGCAAGTTTATTAAGAAAGTAAAGGAATAAAAGAATGGCCACTCCATAGACAGAGCAACCCCGAGGGCTGCTGGTTGCCCATTTTTATGGTTATTTCTTGAAGATACACTAAACAAGGAGTGGATTATTACCCCCGTTTAGACCATAGAGGGCAACTTCCTGACATTGCTATGGCAGTGGTGGGAGTGTAGCAGGACGACCAGAGATTGCTCTCATCGCCACTTTGGTTTTGGTGGGTTTTGGGCGGCTCCTTTACTGCAAACTGTTTATATCAGCAAGGTCTTTATGACCTGTATTTTGTGCTGACTCCTGTCTCATCCTGCTATGTCTGGAATTGGTGGGTTCTTGGTCTCACTGACTTCAAGAATGAAGCTGCGGACTCTCGCAGTGAGTGTTACAGTTCTTAAAAGCAGCGGGTCTGGAGTTTGTTCCCTCTAATGTTTGGATGTGTTCAGAGTTTTTTCCTTCTGGTGGGTTCGTGGTCTCGCTAGCTCAGGAGTGAAGCTGTAGACCTTTGCAGTGAGCGTTATATCTTTCAAGGCGGTGCGTTTGGAATTGTTTGTTCCTACCAGTGGGTTCGTGGTTTTGCTGGCTTCAGGAGTAAAGTTGCAGACCTTCGTGGTGAGTGTTACCACTCATATAGGCTGTATGGACCCAAACAGTAAGCAGTACAAAGATTTATTGCAAAGGACAAAAGAACAGCACTTCCACAGTGTGGAAAGCAACCTAAACAGGGTACCGCTGTTAGTTTTGTCAGCCTGCTTTTATTCTCTTATCTGGCCCCACCCACATCCTGCTGATTGGTCTGTTTTACAGAGAGCTGATTGGTGCATTTACAATCCCTGAGCTAGACACAAAAGTTCTCCACCTCCCCACTAGATTAGCTAGACACAGAGTGCTGATTGGTGCATTTACAAACCCTGAGCTAGATACAGAGTGCCGATTGCTGCATTCACAATCCCTTAGACATAAAGGTTCTCCAAGTCCTCACCAGAGTAACTAGATACAGAGTGCCGATTGGTGCACTCACAAACCCTGAGCTAGACACAGGGTGCTGATTGGTGTGTTTACAAACCTTGAGGTAGATACAGAGTGCTGATTGCTGTATTTACAATCCCTTAGCTAGACATAAAGTTTCTCCAAGACCCAACCAGAGTAACTAGACACAGAGTGCCAATTGGTGCATTCACAAAACCTGAGCTAGACACAGGGTGCTGATTGGTGTGTTTACAAACCTTGAGCTAGAGACAGAGTGCTGATTGGTGTATTTACAATCCCTTAGCTAGACATAAAGGTTCTCCACGTCCCCACCAGACTCAGGAGCCCAGCTGGCTTTACCCAGTGGATCCCGCACCAGGGCCGCAGGTGGAGCTGCCTGCCAGTCCCACTCCGTGCGCCTGCACTCCTTAGCCTTTGGGCGGTCGATGGGACTGGGCACCATGGAGCAGGGAGGGGTGCTCGTTGGGGAGGCTCTGGCCGCGCAGGAGCCCATGGCGGTCGGGGGGAGGCTCAGACATGGCCGGCTGCAGGTGCTGAGCCCTGCCCCGCTGGGAGGCAGCTAAGGCCCAGCGAGAAATCCAGCACAGCAGCTGCTGGCGCAGGTGCTAAGCCCCTCACTGCCCCGGGCGGCGGGGCCGGCCGGCTTCTCCGAGTGCTGGGCGCCCCCAGCCCACGCCCACCCGGAACTCACGCTGGCCGGCAAGCGCTGCGCGCAGCCCTGGTTCCCGCCGGCGCCTCTCTCTCCACACCTCCCAGCAAGCTGAGGGAGCTGGCTCTGGCCTTGGCCAGCCCAGAAAGGGGCTCCCACAGTGCAGCCGCGGGCTGAAGGGCTCCTCAAGTGGGGCCAGAGTGGGTGCCAAGGCCGAGGAGGTGCCGAGAGCGAGCGAGGGCTGCTAGCATGCTGTCATCGCTCACCGTGACTTAGAATGCGTAACCATCTGGGAATGCGGTCCAGTAGGTTTCAGCCTTATTTTACCCAGCTCCTATTTAAGATGGAGTTGCTCTGGTTCACAGGCCTCTGACACCTCAGCCTCCCAAAGTGCTGGGACCACAGGCATGGGCCACTGCACCTGGCCAGAGTCTGCATTTCTTCTTTTTTTTTTTTTTTTTTTTTTGACACAGGGTCTCACTCTGTTGCCCAGGCTGGAGTGCAGTGCTGCAACCTCGGCTCACTGCAACCTCCACCTCCCAGGTTCAAACAATTCTTCTGCCTCAGCCTACTGTGTAGCAGAGACTACAGGTGCGTGCCATCACACCCGGCTAATTTTTGTATCTTTAGTAGAGACAGGGTTTCACCACGTTGGACAGGCTGGTCTTGAACTCCTGACCTCAGGTGATCCGCCCGCCTCGGCCTCCCAAAGTGCTGGGATTACAGGTGTGAGCCACCACGCCTGGCCAGATTCTGCATTTCTAACAAGCTTCCAGGTGCTGCTGATGCCCCTACTCTTAAGAGCCACACTCAAAAAGCAAGGCTTTGTGCCCACTCCTGCCACTTTCTGCGCCTCAGAATTCTTTGCAAAAAGAGTAGAATTCAACTTGTTCTGTTTGCCCTTCTTTCCCCTTCTGCTTTTAAAAATGTAATGTTTTAATGCACAAACATGCATAATATGTAAGCACATACGTGTTTGACACCTGTCATCAAACAGAAAGTATTGAAGTTGAGGTTTGGAATTTCAGTAACACGAGGTTAGTAGGTGTTATGTGTTCATTTTATAAAGACAGCAGGTAATTAATTATAAATGTCACGATCTTACCTCTGCAATAATGGAATCTGTTTCTGAGTAAGAGTCAGTTTGGGATTATCAGTATTAAAGAGAATGAAAAAGGAAGAAAAATGTCTTGTGCTTTCAAAAATAGTCATTTCAACATTAAATGACTTTTTGTCATGGGAATGTACTCTTCATACTTTTATGATGTAGTTATTTAATAGACATTGGCTCATAATAACACGTCAGCTAAGCACACAAATGTCGGTAAATAAGCCAGATTCTCTCTTTGCTTTCCAGACTCTCCTTCTCCATCCCACAGCTTCACCGGACAAGTTTTACTCCAAATTCTTTTAAAATGTGTGTTAAGAACAAAACAAGGTAGCTTCCTTTAGATAGGCAAGCATCAAAATAATTGTAAAGTATTAAAATGCAAGTTAAAGAAATAGAAATATTGCTTAATAGTGTTTTTCTTGAATACTTGAATACTTTTATTAAATAAATTCAAGTTTAGGTAGCAAGAAGAAAAGACTCTTGCCTTATAGAGAGCCCTTAGGATTTAAGACTCATGCTGTTTACAGGAAAAGCTGTAACAAAATTTAATTTTAGTTAGGAAACCTGGTTACAAATCAGATCATCATATAATCATCATATGACATCAGGGCAAAAGAACAGACCTTTTTTCTTCTGATCTTCTGAAAATGCACATTTTTATTAATATTTTTAAAAGCCTAATTCAATTAAATTTCTTCAAAATATTGGTCTTGTCCAATTTTTTCTTTATTAAAAACTATTAAAAATATTCATTGTCTTAAGTAGCTTTTTTCTTCTTTTATTTTAGGAATGATCCCTCTCTTGTCACCCAGGCTGGAATACAGTAGTACTCAAACTCACTGCAGCCTTTAGCTCCTAGGCTCAAGCAATCCTCCCACTTCAGCCTCCCCAGTAGCTGGGACTACAAGAGTGCATCACCATGCTTGGCTAATTTAAAAAAAAAAATTGTGGAGATGGTGTCTTTCTGTGTTGCCTAGGCTGGAGTGCAGATGTGCAATCATTGTTCACTGCAGTCTCAAACTCCTGGGCTCAAGTGATCCTCCTGCCTCAGCCTCCTGAGTAGCTGGGACCACAGGTGGGAGTCACAAAGCCTGCCTAATTTTTAAAAAAATTTTTAGTAGAGATAGGGTCTCACTATGTTGCCCAGGCTGGTCTCGGACTCCAGACCTCAAGCAATCCTCCCACCTCGGCCTCCCAAAGCACTAGGATTACAGGTATGAGCCACTGTACACAGCCCTTGAGTCGTTCTTTTTCTCATTAGCATGTGTATTAGCTTTTTACCTGGCTCTGCAACAAATTACCACAAATTCAGCAGCTTCAACAACATAAATATATTGTCTTACAATTCTGCAGGACAAAAGCCTGACCAGGCTGAAATCCAGGCATTGGCTGGGTCAGGTTCCTGTCTGTAGGCTCTGAATACAATCCATTTCCTTGCCTTTTCTAGCTTCTAGAGGCCACTCACATTCCTGGCTGGTGGCTTCTTCCCCCATCTTCAAACAGCAAAGGCAGAGTCAGAGTGGAGCCTTCTTACATCGTGTCACTCTGTCCAGCTCTTCTGTTTCCTTCTTCCAATGTTGAGGACCCTTGTGATTACATTTGGCTCACCCAGATAATTCAGGATAACCTCCCTATTTTAAGGTCAGCTGATCAGCAACTTTAATCTCCCTTTGCTGTGTAAAATAACATATTCTCAGGTTCCAGGGATTAGGATGTAGGCATCTTTGTCTGTTCTGCATGTGTGTGTTTGAGGGAGTGAGTGGGTGGAGGCCATTATTCTGCCTACCACAATATATCTTATCAGTAATTAAAAAGAATCTTCTAAGAGAGGACTATTGAAATTTGGGTACAGATAGCATTTGCACAGTGCCATTGCATCAAAATTCAGATTGCATTACTCACTGGTGGAAAATGCTGTAACTCTAAAGCAAAGTATTTCTCTTTTAGTTGCATTTATGTTGACTCCCATGTTTTCCTTTTCTTTTTTTAATTTTTTTTTTTTATTTTGAGACAGGGGCCTGCTCTGTAACCCAGGCTGGAGTACAGTGGCACAATCATGGCTCATTGCAGCCTTGACCTTCCTAGGCTCACATGATCCTCCCACCTCAGCCTCCTAAGTAGATGGGACTACAAGCACGTGCCACCGCACTCAGCTAATTTTTTATTTTTTGTAGAGACAGGGTTTCATTAGGTTGCCCAGGGATCTTCTTACCTCGGCCTCCTAAAGTGCTGGGATTACAGGCATGAACCACTATGTCTGGCAACTTCTTCTCTAGTAATGATTTATATATTATAATCTTGGAGTCTAACTATGATTAAATAGACCCTTCAATCTCTATGACCTATCCAAAATTTATTTCATAGACAGGGTTATTGAAAAACACTTAGCACAGTGTTTCTCAAATGGGGTGATTTTGCTCACCCACAGGACATTTGGCAATATCTGCAGACATTTTTGGTTGTCACAATTGAGGAGAGGGTGCTATCGGCATCTATTGGGTAGAGGCCAAGGATGCTGCTAAACATCTTACAAAACACAGGACAGCCCCCACAACAAAGAATCATCCAGCCCAAACTGTCAATCGCGCTGAAGTGGAGAAACCCTGGCTTAGCAAGATGCCAACCTACAGCACCCCACCCCTCAACCGAATTAGGTATTAGTAAATGGATCAGAATTGTATTAGTATATTGATTTGTATATTGATTGAATTAGATGTTATACTAATTAGATGATGAGTCAACAACTAAAATTCTGGTCAAAAGATCAACTGGAGGAAACAGAAGATGGGTAGATCAGTACATACCAATCTGTGTGAAATGCGAAAGGTAATAAACTGAAAGAAAGTAAGCCTGACTTAGAGGCTTAATTGATGAAATTGATGCCCTTCTCTCATGACTCTCATCTCTACGCTTCTTCTTTATCAACATTGCAGGTGTTCCTGGCTCTATGCCAAATGCATCCTGGACTGGAAACCTCAGAGCTATAAAGTGGAGTGACATGGAAGACAGACACGGAGGCTGCCACGGTGAGGCTCTCGTTCCATGCTTCTAGGCCACTGCCTGTTGGTGTTAGCAGGAAGGTAGCTGTGGAATCCAGGGTTCTCATGGAGAGAGAATTGCTGCTATATTTAGACCAATCTGTTAGTTATTGGAGAAGCCAGAGGCTTCAAGACACAGTCCTTCAAAAATAAGTTTAAACATCTCATTGATGTTCTCTAACTTATAATTACCTAGGGAGATGGAAAAATGGGTTCAAATCAGGGCGGCATGTTTTTCTTCCTGCTAGTTTTCAGCTTTCTTTCTTTCTTTAGAGACAGGGTTTCACTCTGTCATTCAAGCTGGAGTGCAGTGGCATGAATGCAGCTCACTGCAGCCTCAACATCCTGGGTTCAGGCCTCACACCTCAGCCTCCCAAGAAGCTGGGACCACAGGCGTGCACCACCACACCTGGCTAATTTTTTTTTTTCTTGTAGAGTCAGCTTTCTTGTTTATTCCTCTTGCTGTGCCTTCTGGGAGTCCAGCTGTTCAGAGGCGAAAGCCATCAGGAGGAGAAGTGATGTCATGTTGGCACCGCAGAGAAAGCTGGGCCCCCAACCCTCAGGCCAGTCCCTGCTCCCCCTACAGGCAGCCTTCCCAGTGGCTTGGAGAGCTGTCGGGGTTTGCACAGCTCTGGCATGATGGATGGCAGGTTACACTAGCAAGAAGGGTTCCCCTCCAAATGGAAAAGAACTAGAAATCCTAAGTCATTTCCATTTCTATAGAATTTTGTGAAGGAGAGTTTTTATCAGTCCTGGCACACACTGCATTCAGAATATTGCCCAGCATATACTGGGCATGAGTATTAGTTTGCTAGGGCTGCCATAACAAAGTGGCACAGACTGGGTGCTTAATAGAAATTTATTTAGTTCTAGAGGCTGGAAGTCCAAGATCCAGGTGTCAGCAGGGCTGGTTTATTAAGGCCTCTCTGCTTGGCTTGTAGATAGCATTTTCTCCCTGTGTTCCCACATGGTCTTCCCTCTGTGCGTGTCTGTGTCCTAATCGCCTCTTCTTCTAAGGAGACCAGTCATATTGGATTATGGCCCACCCTAAAGGTCTCATTTTAATTTAATTACCTCTTTAAAGACCCTGTCTCCACTCTGAGACACTCAGTGTTAGGATTCAACATATGAATTTAGAGAGACAAACAATTCAGTCCATAATATGCAATAAATATTTATTTAGTAAGTGATTGTTTGAACAAATGAATCAATGAATGAATGACAATATGGTGGTTTGGCCTTTTCTCTCTATGGCAACGAGACTTTGCCTCTACTCCTCAGTCCATCTTTTTTTTTTTTTTTTTTTTTTTTTTTTGAGATGGATTCTCGCTCTATCACCAGGCTGGAGAGCAGTGGCGCCATCTCAGCTCACTGCTGCAACCTCCACCACCCAGGTTCAAGTGATTCTTCTGCCTCAGCCTCCCAAGTAGCTGGGATAACAGGTGCATGTCACCACGCTCAGCTAATTTTTGTATTTTTAGTAGAGACGGGGCTTCACCATGTTGGCCAGGATGGTCTCAGTCTCTTGACCTCGTGATCTGCCCCCCTTGGTCCCCCAAAGTGCTGGGATTACAGGCGTGAGCTACTGCGCCCGGCCCCATCTTACCTGCACCTAAATGTTAAATGTTTCAGGTGAAAATCTCCAAGTTGCTCCATCTCTACAACTCTCCATTACACCAACCTCTTTCTCATGTGTCTCTTGATGGTCTCATCCCACTGTGGACAGCAATGTTTTCATGCAACTGTAAAGAAATTTTGGTCCATTCTGAAGCATGTTAATATATTTAATCAGCCTGTATTTTCTCCAGGGGACAGTGCATGCCACCTGCCTACATTATTTTTTTTTTTTTTTGAGATGGAGTTTCACTCTTGTCACCCAGGCTGGAGTACAAGTGGCACAATCTCGGCTCACTGGAACCTCCGTCTCCCGGGTTCAAGTGATTCTCATGCCTCAGCCTCCTGAGTAGCTGAGATTACAGGCACCCACCACCACACCCAGCTAATTTTTGTATTTTTAGTAGAGACGGGGTTTCACCATGTTGGCCAGACTGGTCTCAAACTCCTGACCTTATGATCCACCTGCGTCGGCCTCCCAAAGTGCTGGGATTACAGGCATGAGCCACCGCACCCGGCCTGTACTACCTTCATCAGCCCTCTTAGCACTTAGAATGATCTTCAACTTGGAGTGCCCATCTCTGATTACAGTGTCTTTGTCACCTCTACTAGTTTCCTTCACCTACTCACATCCTACTTATTTTACTGTCTTTCTTCCCAGAGCAGAAGCTCCAAGACAGCTAGGATTTTTGACCAGTTTGTTCACTGTTGTGTGTCCACACCTAAACCATGTTGTTTTTGGTTTGAATTGGGATTTCCAGAGGTTCAACATTTCAAGCTTTTTCCTTCTATGAGCTTCCTTCTGAGGACTCCCCGTCTGACCCGTGTATTGTAAGCCACTACAAGATGTCCTCACCAACATTTTTGGTCCTTTTGCCATTTTGACCCTACAAGGCTGATTCCTAACCCTAATCATTACCACCATCTGCCTTTTTTGCCGTTTGTACTTCCCTAGGCAGAGTATTGGTGGGGAGTGTTGCGGAACTCTCTTAAGACAAACCCACCATTGGGTCCTGTCATCTACCTTCAGCTAGGCCTCCTGGCTACCTACTTATCCTTTTGTTTACCTCATTATTTTCCTAGTGCCCTTCCTAAGGGACACCTTTTCAGCTTTCCTGCTCACCTTTAAGCTCCCAAGGTGTATTAGTCCGTTTTCACACTGCTGATAAAGACATACCCAAGACTGGGTAATTTATAAAGAAAAAGAAGTTTAATGGACTCACAGTTCCACGTGACTGGGGAGGCCTCACAATCCTGGCAGAGGGCAAAAGGCACATCTTACATGGTGGCAGGAAAAACAGAATGAGAGCCAAGAATGAGAGCCAAGCAAAAGAGGAAACCCCTTATAAAACCATCAGATCTTGTGAGACTTACTCACTACCACAAGAACAATCATGGGGGAAACTGCCCCCCACGATTCAACTATCTCCCACTGCATCCCTCCCACAACACATGGGAATTATGGGAGCTGCAATTCAAGATGAGATTTGGGTGGGGACACAGCCAAACCATATCACAAGGTTATGCTAAAACAGCCTTTCTATTCTCAAAAGCGACCATTTCAACTTGAAAAAGAACATTCAAGATATGTGATCAAAATTCATCATCTAGTCCCTTGTCAGGTCATCCTGCCCCACCATCTTAGAGCTGTGTGGACACCTTCTTTCATTGTTCCCTCCTGTTTCAAGAGGACAAGTCACCCATCCTCCCAACAAAAGCCGCCAGCTATGGTCTCAGCTATCTGTGGGCCCCCTCTCTCAGACCCTTGCTCTTTTGCATTCTCAGCCTCTCCCTTTCTGCTGCCTCTTTTCCTTTTCTCTGAAAGCCTGTACTCATTGCCCCTATCTTGAAGACATCGAGTTGTCTATGAACCTTCTGCTTTCTCCAGGCCGAAATATTCTTTCCTTGTTCACTTCCATTTCTTTAAGCGTGTGCTTAAGGCCTGTGTTTTTGGTTCTCGCCGCCTGGTCATTCTTTCACTTCCTACAATTCTGGCTTCTTTCCCCAATGACTTCTACTCTCTATTATGCTTCTTCCCAGCCCACTGAATTAATCACCATGTTCTATCTGTCCTTCTGTACTAGTGTCTTCAACATCCTCCCTTTCCCACTCATCACAGACATTAACTTTGAACAAGCTCTCCAGTTTGTGTTATTACTGCAGCCTCTTGGTTTCTAATGTACCTTGCAAAACACTTCAAAATTAATCTTGCTAAAATGAGTTTCATCACTTGATTCTTCTCTTCAAAAATCTTTAAGGACTGTCCATACTTGTGAGACACAAGGCCCAACCCTTCAGTCTGTGAAGTCAGTCAACCAGCAATTGTCCTGTGTGCCCAGAAGAATCTCTGGAAAATGGTTGCAACTTCCTACCATTCTTGTTTCTAACCTATTCCCAACAAAACCCCCTCTCCCAGCAGGAAGTCCCCACCCCAAAAGCTATTGAGGTTAAAAAAAAAAAAAATTTCAATATTGACGTGTTACATCACTGAGGTTTATCACACATCTAGGCAGAGGTGCAAAGTAGGCACTTGGATAGACCAGAGCTCAGGAAAAAGACTTACTCAACGCAACCCATAAAGATCTCTCCCACCTGTACCACTGTAGGACTTCTCATCTGTAACTCTCATTTAGTAATACCGTAGGCCCCCCTTATCCACGGGGGGATACATTTCAAGACCCCCAGTGGATGCCTGAAACCACAGACAGTACCGAACTCTAAATATACTTTGTTTTTCCCTGTACATGCATATCTATGATAAAGTTTAATTTTTGAAGTAGGCATAGTAAGAGGTTAACAATAATAACTAATTATAAAATAGAACAATTATAACAATATGCTGTAATAAAAGTTATGTGAATAAAAGTTCTGTGAATAAAAAAGTTATGTGTAATAAAAGATATATGCTCTCTTTCTTTCTCAAAATATCTTAATATTTTTGGATCGTGGTTGACTTCGGGTAGCTGAAACCTCAGAAAGCAAAACTGCAGATAAGGGGGGATTACTGTACATGAATGACCTTGTAACACCTATTATGTTACTAACACAATTTTCATATTAATTTTGATATACACAATAATTAACATAATTAAAATATTAACACCTGTTACTTTATGCCTTGTATGATTTAACTCTCATTTTTTTCAAATAACATATTTGTACCTCTTGTTCTTCTAAATAGAGTTCCAGTTCTTTGTGGGCTGAGACTGCACAATCATATTTCATTTGAATCCTGTACCATTGGCACAGTTGTAGTTAGTCGGAGAGTACCTCTAGTATTCTGTAAGTTCATCACCCTTTTGAAAGCAAGCATGTTTTGACTCTGTTTCTTGTTCTTTCTTTTGCAGGCCACTATGTACATGGTATTTGTATCTATGGAAACGGAGACTTAAAGTGGCTGGTTAATTCACCAAGCCTGTTTGCTAACAAGTTTGAGCTTAATACCTACCCCCTTACTGTGGAATGCCTAGAACTGAGGCATCGCGAAAGAACCCTCAATCAGAGTGAAACTGCGATACAACCCAGCTGGTATTTTTGAGCTATTCATGAGCTACTCATGACTGAAGGGAAACTGCAGCTGGGAAGAGGAGCCTGTTTTTGTGAGAGACTTTTGCCTTCGTAATGTTAACCGTTTCAGGACCACGTTTATAGCTTCAGGACCTGGCTACGTAATTATACTTAAAATATCCACTGGACACTGTGAAATACACTAACAGGATGGCTGGGTAGAGCAATCTGGGCACTTTGGCCAATTTTAGTCTTGCTGTTTCTTGATGCTCACCTCTATATTAGTTTATTGTTAGGATCAATGATAAATTTAAATGACCTCAGATCTTTGCACCAGATACTCATCATATACAAATGTTTTAGTAAAAAAGAGAATTGTAGATAATACTGTCTAGGAAAATAAGAATTAGGTTTCTTTGAAGAAGGAATCTTTTATAACACCTTAACAGTCACCACTGTGCTCAACCAGACAGATAGTGAAACAGCTTTCTGGGTAATTCACCAATTTCCTTTAAAACATAAGCTACCTGAATGGAGAATACATCTTGTTTCTGAGTTTCAACACTAGCATTTTTGGCTTACTCATGGACAAAGTTCTGTATATAGTATAAAGTCATTAACAAGAAACAGGATATGCTTTAAGACAGAATTCACTGTCTGTTGCTTCAGTAAAAGGACCTCGGGGAATAAAACATTTCTCTCTTATATGCCAGAATGTAGGCTGGTCCCTATGTCATGTCTTCCATTAAGAACACTAAAAAGTCCTTGCAAGAATGGAGATATGCATTCAAGAGAGGTGCTATCACATAGATCTAGTCTGAAGTCTGGAACACTTTCCTCTTCTATGACCCCTCTCTCCCCAGTATTATCTTACTTGCAAAATGGAGACCAAATTCTATCCTGTGAGGCTTTTAATTGCACCATAGTATGCTCTGAGTAGCTTTACACTGCCTGGTACTGATAGTAGTGGCTCGATTTTTAAGAGCCTTCAATTGTAGATGAACATCTCTGTTATTTATCCCTCATTCATCCATCCGTTCATTCATTCAGCCTTCAATCAACATCTCTTGAGTGTCTATTATGTACAGGACATGTACTGAGACAAAAAGGAAACATAAGAGCTTTTTCACTCTAAAAATCTTGGCAATAATGTCAACACCAGAAAGCCTCCTCTGGAGAATCTTACAGAGTGATTGTAGTTTAATACAGGAACACACAGGGCTGTGTAGCATGATACCAGGCCCAGGAGATCAGTAATTACAAATTAAGGGTTAAATCAGAGATTATTCAACAGAGAGGGAGAAAGGAGGAGACAGAGGGAGGACCTGTTGTGTTCCAGCCATTCTGGTATTCCTTTATGTATCTAATTTCATTCAAACCTCACAACAGTCTTGTGAGGCCCTTATATAATTACTCCCATTTTGCAGATGAAGTAACTGAGGCTTAGAAAGGTTAATAGCACCGGGGAACAATTTCTCTGGGTGAGAATTGGGACTCTGTTGCTGGTCTTCTCAGTTCATTTCCTGAGGTGGATTTACTGAGAGAAGGTGAAATAAAGCCATATTTAGTATACCAGAGAAGGTAGATTTTAAGAATGGTCTCAGTGTTAATACTGAGAAAAAGTCCTGTCAGTTCAGAAAAAATGTGAAGTCTACTTTAGTATTCCTGTAATACTAAACCGTTGAGTTTCTAAATATTTATTTATTCTAACAAAAAGCAATTACTACAAATGGATGACACATTTAATGAACACAATTTTATTTTTTTTCTGTAACTGTGCTTGTTGAATGTCAATCATATTTAAAGGGAATGACTTTGAAGTAAAACCTTTTTTCTTGCTACTGAAAAAAATGGAGTTGTTTTGGGTGGTAAAGTGTTAAGGAATAGGGACAGCTGGTCACACAAGGAACTCTTGAAGGCCACATGTGAAAACCTGTCACTTGCACAGAGGCCAGTCCCACTAAGGTGACCAGAGTGGGCTCCAAGCACAAACTGCCATTGGCTATAGATGGGACTGTGTCCCCCCAAAATTCATGTGTTGGAGCCTTAACCCTCAATGTGATGGTATTTGAGATGGGGCCTTTGGTAAGGGAAGTTTAGATGAGGTCACGAGGGTAGGACCCTCATGATGGGATGAGTCCCCTTACAAGACCTCTGGCTTGGGCCGGGCGTGGTGGCTCACACCTGTAATCCCAACACTTTGGGAGGCCAAGGCAGGTAGATCACTTGATGCCAGGAGTTCCAGACCAGGCTGGCCGACATGGTGAAACCCCATCTCTACTAAAAAATATAAAAATTAGCCGGGCTTTGTGGCATGTGCCTGTAATCCCAGCTATTTGGCAGGCTGAGGCATGAGAATCGCTTGAACCCAGGAGGTGGAGGTTACAGTGAGCTGAGAGTGCCCCACTGCACTCCAGCCTGGGTGACAGAGCGAGACTTTGTCCCAAAACAAAATAGGTGAGGGGATAGCGAATGCACTCAGGGTCAGCAGTGGAGTTTAAAAATTGTCTCTTTTCAACTTATTTAAATGACAGCACCTGAGAAGAGGAACCGTTTTACACTGGATGTTTCTCATGTAGAACAAGAAATCTTTCTGGAATTGATGTTTACATGTCTGTTGTTGGTCATCTCTCCTGTGTCTTAAATACTTTAATGTTGGAAGAGCATAGTGTTTGGGCTAGTGGGTTTCTGACAGCCCATGGGAATGCCCTGAAACTACTGTATCTGATGTTTGTTTTCGATGAGGTTCCATGTTTTGTTTTCTTGGGAATAAATTAATATATTGTTTTCCACTTCGGGGATACTGTGTATTTTTATATGACAATTGGTTAAAAATCCACTAAAGGATATGTCTAACAAGGCAATTCTCCTGGTGTTAAACAAAATTTACATTCATTCATACATACATGCATACCTGTCTAAGAAACATCCATCCACTGAAAAATCATTAAACTTTCCCATTGTGGGGTGTTGGAGAGAGTAACTGGGAGTGATAGAGAGAAGAGGGCGCAATAGAAGATCAGTGTCATTTGAATTGGGTATAACTTTTTTTTTTTGGTAAGAGTACAAGTATTTTTAAAATTTGAGACAGGAATAAGTTAACTTATTATTTACCTGCCTCTATTGTTCATTTAAAAAAATCAAGATATACATTAGGAAAAAGTTTTATGTTAATATTACCATAATTACTGATCAAGTGCCAATGTTTTTGAGCAGCATTTCAATTGTAAGTTTGATAAATATTGCCTCTAACAGACACATGGAAAATGATCAATACTAAAAAAAAAAAAAAAATCATTTAAAGGACATCTTATCCATCATATTTTTTCAAATAAAAATATTTTAAAGCTAAAGCGAAAAACATTTTAAACTATAATAAATACATACATGCTCATAAACATGGAAATAATGAAGAATATAGAATAAAAAGTGCACTACTTTCTCCAGACATAATCACTTATTTGCTTTTTTTGGTTTTTGTTTTTCTGAGACAGAGTCTCACTCTGTTAACCAGGCTGGAGTGCAGTGGCACAGTCATGGCTCACTGCAACCTCAACCTCCTGGGCTCAGGTGATCCTCCCACCTCAGCCTCCCAAGTAGCTGGAACCACAGGCATGTTCCACTGCACATGGCTAATTTTTGTATTTTTTGTAGAGACAGGATTTTGCCATGTTATCCTGTCTGGTCTCAAACTCCTGGGCTCAAGCGATCCACCTGCCTCAGCCTCCCAAAGTGCTGGACTACAGGCTTGAGCTACCACACCTGGTCAAGTGCTTTCTCAGTGTACTGATATAATCTATAGCAGTGCTGTCCAGTAGAATTTCTGCAATGATAAAAATGTTCTACATCTGCACTGCCCAATATAATTGCCACTCACATAAGCTAATGAGCTCTTGAAATGCAGCTAGTATGATTGGGAAATATTCTTTAACATTTTATTTGGCTTTAATTTTTTTTTTTTTTTTTTTGAGATGGAGGGGACTCATCCAGGCTGGAGTGCAATGGCACAATCTCGGCTCACTGCAACCTCCACCTTCCAGTTCAAGCGATTTTCCTGCCTCAGTCTCCTGAGTAGCTGGGACTACAGGTGCATGCCACCACGCCCAGCTAATTTTTGTGTTTTTAGTAGAGAGGGGATTTTGCCATGTTGGCCAGGCTGGTCTCAAACTCCTGATCTCAGGTGATCTGCCTGCCTCAGCCTCCCAAAGTGCTGGGATTACAGGTGTGAGCCACCGTGCCTGGCCAGCTTTAATTAATTTAAATAGCCACATATGACTAGTGGCTACCATTGGACAGCAGAGTTATAGAGGCAAACAATAGTTATATGTATGTGCTTGTATATACAGTGTATATACAGTGGGCATACTAAAAACAGATATACTGGCATATTTGAATTGATTATATAAATAAAAAATAATATATCTTTACAACTTGCTGTTTTAGTTCGACCTTTCTTTTTTTCTTTTTCTTTTCTTTTTTTTTTTTTTTTTAAGAGAGACTAAGTCTTGCTCTGTCACCCACGATGGAGTGCAGTGGCATGATCATGGCTCACTTCAGCCTCAAACTCCTGGGCTCAAGTGATCCTTGCATATCAGCCTCCCAAGCGTGTACCACCATGCCCGGCTAATTTTTTATTAATTTTTGTAGAGATGGGAGTCTCACGATATTTTCCAGGCTGGTCTCAAACTCCTGGCCTCCAGTGATCCTCCCACCTTGGACTCCTAAAGTGCTGGGATTATAGGCGTGCACCTGCCCATAATGCAATTTTAAATAGTAGCAGTGGTAGCAGCTTTCCTTGTGTTGTTTCCAACATTAAAAAGCACGTTGAATTACTGTTGTTGGAGATTTTATATAGCTTTTTAGTAGATACCTTTTATTGAGTTAAGAATTACAATAGCAGAAAATAAATATAAGTGTTATGATTCTGATTTTTTAAATCCCAGTTGCTATCTCTTTTTTGTTGGCTGATATAATTATGTGTGACAATGTGTTGTTGTTTTTAATTTTTTTCCCCACATATTAATTCAAAAGATAAGAAAAAAGTTTTCTACCCCTGCTTTTTTTTTTTTTTTTTTTTTTGAACACCTAGACTTGAGTACAGTGGCGTATGCCAAGCAAGAGATTGGAGCAGGGATCCATTTAAACAGAGAGCTACACAGTTGGAGTTTGGGAACACAAATGCCTGAGCTGGAAGGTGTCTATTATAACTCCTCCCTCTACTGGGTGGGTTGGTTTAGGGATTCAGGGGTCAAGCCAATTGGAAAACACATAAGTGGACAACCTCTGAGGGCTGACTTCTGACCTTGGAACAAGAATGTCTTTGAGAGGAGGAGGACATGGGCAAACCTGACTCTGGTCACCTTTCCATGAGGAACACCTACAAGCTCTGAAAGTGGTGAGAATCCACAGTGGCCGAATGGAAGGTCAACCTTGACAATCCTGTTTGAGCCCGGGAAGCCTAACCTGCATCTTGGGAAGGATCTATAGGAGATGGGCTGGCAGAACAATCCAAAAGGGTTCCTGACAAAGAAATACAGGACTCAGAAACTGACATTCAACATCAAGTATCAGACTGCAGAAATAAGCCCAGGGCATAATGTGATGGAGGACTCAAGATATTAGGAGAAATCATTGAAAAAGTTAACGCCAGGTTAGTTAAAGTGAATTATTTCAAGTTCAGGCCATTGGCTGCAACCTCCACCTCCTGGTTTCAAGCGATTCTCCTGCCTCAGCCTCCCAAGTAGCTGGGATTACAGGTGCCCGCCACCATGCCTGGCTAACTTTTGTATTTTTAGTAGAGACGGGGTTTCATCATGTTGGCCAGGCTGGTCCCGAACTCCTAACTTCAAGTGATCTGCCCACCTCAACCTTCCAAAGTGCTGGGATTATAGGCGTGAGCCACTGCGCCTGGCCTAGAATATTTTTTAATGTATGTAGTAAATCCTACGGCAGCCATTAAAAATTACATCAGTAGATGAAATACAATACAATCATAAAAATGCTCAATTAAAATCAGAGAAGGCGGCGGGGCGCGGTGGCTCACGCCTGTAATCCCAGCACTTTGGGAGGCCAAGGCAGGCAGATCACCAGGTCAGGAGACCGATACCATCATGGCCAACAGGGTGAAACCCTGTCTCTACTAAAATACAAAAAATTAGCTGGGCATGGTGGTGCGCGCCTGTAATCTCAGCTACTAGGGAGGCTGAGGCAGGAGAATCACTTGAACCCAGGAGGCAGAGGTTGCAGTAAGCCAAGATCACGCCACTGCACTCCAGCCTGGGCGACAGAGCGAGACTCCGTCTCAGAAAAAAAAAAAAGCAATAGTTTGAAATTGTATGAATAATCAAAATTATTAATATATATGAGTAATGGGTCATGTTAAAACTTAGTCCCTAATCTTCCACAGTCTACAGCAGTTTATATGGAAACACTGTCTCCTCTAAAATCCACAGCCAGTTGTGGGGAGATTTTGCCATCCAATGTTGCTGGGACCCTTCAAAACTAAATGAATAAGGGAAATGAGTTACTCATTCAATTATTCATTGGAAGAATCAGCTGAGTGCCCAAATGTGCCAGGCACTATGCTGAGCACTTTGGATAAAAACTCTTAAGACCTGGCCATGCCTAATGAAGTACTCTTACTTGAACGGACAGAAATCTGGAAGGATCCTCCTGCTTAAAAGGTTAGGAATGATAAGCAAGATGGGAAATTACTTGAATATACCCAGATATGCATACCCAGGGAGAAGTTAGCCACAAAAGGAGAGGTAGATACAGACAGGTATATAACTGGACACAATTACAACAAATTAGATGACTCAACAACAGAAACAGGAAATGGGAACTAACCCTTTACCCCATCTCCCCAGTTACAGCCACACAGGACAGAAAGGAGGGTGAGTCACACTGAGTAGTCTTGGTAGCCCAGCCTGGATGAGGATGCATTGACTAAAAGATCAGAACATTTGCAGAACAAGAAGTAAGAAATACCACAGAATTGACACTCAACTGAGGAATGGCCAGGCATCAAAATAAGCAAATGGGATCTGGAAAAGTGAGTGCAACTGATAAAGTGGCCAAATGTAGAGACTGGTAGAGAAGTAAAATGTTTTAGAAATTGATTTATTTCTTAAAGAAGAATTCTTTCTCTCCACCCTTCTACCCCCAGGTGTCAAAAACTAAAATGAAGGTTTGGAGCTGTTATCTTTGTATCATTACTCTTCAAATTATAATCATAGTCACAGTATTATACAATGTGCATGTAAGTCAACCAGACAGTGGTCAAATAGATGACGTAGGTGGTGAATATCAAGCCCTTTCCCGACTGCACATCTGTGACGCAGCCCTAAATGGGAAGACGGTGCAAGTATTGCCAAGCGCTTTATCCACAATGTTTGGAATAGATTCTTGCCCTTACTATGTGCTAGAGAACCACTATATCACAACTCCTTTGTCCACAGAAGAAGCTGCATTCCCTTTGGCATATGTAATGACCATCAGTCAAGATTTCGATACGTTTGAATGGCTTTTCTGGGCTATTTACATGCCTCAAAATGTCTACTGTATTCACGTTGATAAGGCGGCCACGATTGACTTTAAAATTGCTGTGAGTGAATTATTGGAGTGCTTCTCAAATGCATTTATATCCTCACAGTCTGAGTATATTATTTATGGTGGAAAATCCAGGCTCCAGGCGGACCTGGCCTGCATGAGAGATCTTATAGCATCAACTGTTCAGTGGAGATATGTCACTAACACTGGTGATCACGATTTCCCCCTAAAAACCAACAGGGAGATAGTTCAGTATTTGAAAACAATGAATTGGACAAACATTACACCTAATTTAGTGTCTGTTCTGAAATCTACTGAAAGGATCAAATATACCCATAGAGAGTACAGAACCAGAGCACACGCTTTTGTCCTAAAGAAGCATAAAAAGAAGAGCCCACCTCCACGTCAACTCAAAATCCACTTTGGCTCAAGTTACGTTGCCCTTACAAGGGAATTTGTCCATTTTGCTCTTTATAATAAAATAGCCATTGAGTTACTCCAGCGGTCTCAAGATACCTACAGTCCAGATAAACATTTCTGGATTACACTCAACAATATTCCAGTTGAGTGTGGTTTCCTTTCTCATTTCTTTTTTGTTAATTTTTTTTTTTTTTTTGAGATAAAGTCTCCCTCCATCACCCAGGCTGGAGTGCAGTGGAATGATCTCAGCTCACTGCAACCTCCGCCTCCCGGGTTCAAGTGATTCTTCTGCCTCACCCTCCCAAGTAGCTGGCATTCAAGCGTGTGCCATCACACCAGGCTAATTTTTGCAATTTTAGTAGAGATGGGGTTTCTTCACGTTGGCCAGGCTGGTCTCAAACTTCTGGGCTCACATGATCCACCTGCCTCGTCCTCCCAAAGTGCTGGGATTACAGGCATGAGCCTGTAATTTTTATTTTTCAATCAAGGTGATGTATAATTATGATTTTTAAAATCAAATATTATTAAAAGCCTTCTTATAATAAAGATTTATGGCCTTATGCCCTGCTCCTCCCCATGTGCAGTCCCAATTCACAAAAAAAACTGTCATATTTTAGCTGTTCCTCCTAATGGTGACTTCTATGCAAAGAACATGCTTATGCTGCCATTTCTTGATACATTAATTTTAATATCAAGTAGCAATATCCTGTTATAGTGGTTAAGAATGCTTATATCCTCTACCCACAAATTTTCCTTATCTCTTTTAATATTGTGATTTTAAATCAATTGTCAATATTTACATGATCATAACTATGAAGCTATTGTTCATAGCTGCCAAGGACTCTACATTTTGTTTTTCCTGAGGTTTATGATTGCCTCAGGTTTTTTTCTTCCGTTACTTCTTATATATACTTATCACTAATTATTTCAAAATGCTTAATCTCATCGGTAAAGTAACTATGATTATTTTCCAATTGTTCACCTCTTTTTGTTGTTGTTGTTTTTTGAGACAGAGTCTCATTTTGTCACCCAGGCTGCAGTGCAGTGGTGCAATCTCTGCTCATTGCAACCTCTGCCTCCCAGGCTCAAGCGAGTCTCGTGCCTCAGCCTCCTGAGTAGCTGGGACTACAGGCATGTGCCACCATGCCTGGCTGATTTTTGTACTTTTAGTAGAGATAGGGTTTCACCATGTCATCCAGGCTGATCTCGAACTTCTGGGCTCAAGTCATCCACCGGCCTCAGCCTCATGAAGGTGTGAGCCACTGCACCCAGCCATGTTCCACTCCTTATGCCCTCCCAGTCTGGCTTCCTCTGACCTCCCAATCTGGACATTGTCTCTATGGGCCTGTTGTCTGCGTTTATCTTACCTGGAAACTCTCTTCCTTGTTATGATGTTGAATCTTACATTCCATAGAATCTACATTATCTATCTTTTATATCTATCTTTATCTATCTTTGAATATTTAAGAATTAAATAATACGAACTCACACATGTGCTTCAAAATAATCTGAGGGTAGATGGGGAAGTGAATCATGATTAGTTTATAATTATTGATACTGGATGATAGGTATGTCAGAGTTAATTATTGCTCTACAATTTTCGTGTGTTTAAAATCTTCTATAGTAAAAAGAATTTAAAACCTTAATAGCTGTTTCATTTTTTGAAGTTATTGTAAATAGGATAGTAATTTCTGTTATGTTTTTCTGATTATTTTACTTTGTTTATTGATTTTTGTATATTATTTTTAAATTCAGCCATATTGCTAAATTCTCTTATCCTTTTTTTTTTTTTTCTTTTTTTGAGACGGAGTCTAGCTCTGTTGCCCAGGCTGGAGTGCAATGGCACAATCTCGGCTCACTGCAACCTCCGCCTCCCAGGTTCAAGCAATTCTCCTGCCTCAGCCTCCCAAGTAGTTGTGATTACAGGTGCACGCCACCACACCCAGTTAATTTTTGTATTTTTAGTAGAGACGAGATTTTACCATGTTGGTCAGGCTGATCTCAAACTCCTGACCTCAGGTGATCCGCCCACCTTGGCCTCCCAGACTGCTGGGATTATAGCTGTGAGACCGGCCTGTCTTATCCTTTTTAACAGTTTTCTAGTTGATTCTCTTGGATTTTTCATGTATTCAATTATATAATGTGCAAATAAATGATAAATTAACCTAACTTCCAAAGGTGAGGTACATTTGTTTATCTAATTTGTTAACAACTACTTTCAGAATAATAGTATTGATAATGGTAATCCTCTTATTCTTAACTGTAATAAGAAACTTTCTAGGTGTGTGTTTGGTGAGTGCATACTTGTTTGTTGGGGATGGGAAGGGAGCCTTTAGCATCTTTCTCTACTTTTTCCAAGTCAATTGTCTACTTAGAGTTTTCATCTCTTCTGGAGTTGGTTTTTGATGAATTATATTTCCCTGGAAAATTATTCATTTCATGTAGATTTTCACATTTATTTTCAGAGTTGAACATATGCATCTCTTATAAATCTTTTAAATTCTTTATATATCTACCGTTAATTTCCTACTTATCAATTCTTATTTTGTGTAACTGTGATTTTTCTCTTTTTCTTTAAAAAATTAGCTCAGCTAACAGTTTCTTGCTGTTTGTTTCAATTCAAAGACCCAACACTCAGATTTCACTTATTCATTCTGCCATTTTTTTCTTTGCAAATGTATTAATTTCCAGTTATTATTAATTCTTCATTTTGCTTTTATGAACTTTGTTTTGGTATTCTTTTTCTAACATTTGCTGGTAGATGTTTGTTTCTTTTTCTTTTATTCCTCCTTGTTTATTAATTATTTAAAGCTGTAATTTTCTTCTGGTCACTGCATTAGGTACGAGATTCTCATAAGTTCTAAGTAGGCTTTTCATCACTATTTTCTAGATATTGTACAATTTTAATTTCAGCTTCCTCTTTGACCAAAGAGTTGTGTGAGAAAAAAAGGTGTTTTTTGTTTTGTTTTGTTTTTTGGTTTTTGGTTTTTTTAAGACAGAGTCTTGCTCTATCGCCCAGGCTAGAGTACAATGGTGCGATCTCAGCTCACTGCAACCTCCACCTCCCAGGTTCAAGCGATTTCCTGCCTCAGCCTCCCAAGTAGCTTGGGATTACAGGCACCCGGCACCACGCTCGGCTAATTTTTGTATTTTTGGTAGAGATGGGGTTTCACCATATTGGCCAGGGTGGTCTCAAACTCCTGGCGTCAGGTGATCTGCCTGCTTCAGCCTCCCAAAGTGCTAGGATTATAGGCATGACCCACTGCACCCAGCCAAAAAAAAAAAAAAGTTTTTTTAAAGTGTCAGGTGGCATTTAAAAAATTTCTGGTGTGTGTGTGTGTGTGTGTGTGTGTGTGTGTGTGTGTGTGTTTAAATTAGTATTTAATTTTTCTCTTTTATTCCATTTGATCACAGAATGTTATCCGTATTATTTCTACTTCGCGGAAGTTGTTTGCTCTGTGGCTGCATCTATGATCAGTTTTAGCAAATGTTTTATGGACACTTGAAAAAAACATGTATTCTTGGTTTTCAAGGTATAAAATTCTACATATATTCATATAAATTAACATGCCTTATTTGGTATGTTTTAGGTATTATAACTTTTTTGTAATCTGTTTATTGGCTCTGTCAATGCTTAATTAAAGGGAAGTTAAGCCTACTAGAACTTTGTTTCTCTTCCTCTTGCAGCATCCTTCCCCTGGGTTGTTGTTGTTGTTGTTTTGAGACAGAGTCTCGCTCTGTCACTCAGGCTGGAGAGTGCGGTGGTGCGATCTAGACTCACTGCAACCCCTACCTCCCGAGTTCAAGCGATTCTCCTGCCTCAGCCTCCCGAGTAGCTGGGATACAGGTGCCCACCACCATGCCCAGCTAATTTTTGTATTTTTAGTAGAGACAGGGTTTTGCCATGTTGGCCAGGCTGGTCTCAAACTCCTGACCTCAGGTGATCCGCCTGCCTCGGCCTCCCAAAGTGCTGGGATTACAGGCGTGAGCCACCACGCCTGGCCCTTCTCCTGCCTTTCTAACAACAATTATGAGCTGGCAAAGAAGAATTTCAGGATCCAGCTCCGATCACAAAGGAGGATACATTTACAGCTGAAAGGATTTTTACAGGATCCAGCTCCATGATCACAAAGGAGGATACATTTACAGCTGAAAGGCAACAAGTTAGTAACTGGCACAGTCCACCCCTTTGGCTATTGTTTCCATTTGTATCCCTACAGGAATTTGGACTTCCATATAACAACAAAACAACTCTGTTTCCACCTGGGACACATCTACCCTTTGTGCAAGTGGGAAAGTTGTCATACTTTCTCTTAAACTAGGAGACACTCAATCTCAAAAGTCATTCTATCCATTGCTGGCTATATGAATGAATTACTCCTCCAATGTAGTCCAGTCCAACAGAATATTCTGTTACCTAAAGAATAAATAATAGAGTTAACCTCCCATAACCAGTATATAAAATAACAATGGGAAGAAGGAAAATTAGAAATGGTTAGCATATATAAATATATACAAGCAAAGCTACTATAGTCCTCACTTTTATAATTGGCCACAAGATCAATTATAAAATCATATCTATGACTTTCTTCTTCCACTTCCCATTCCAGATTTCCCTTGCCTCAGCCAGACCTCAGCTGGTCAAGTTTCTTTACCCGGTGGGGTGACCCAAATTATCTTCCCTGAAGTGTATGAGTCTTCAATAGCCTTGCCTCTTTCTGGTTGCTGTAGTTTTCCATTAACCTTTACTATTAAGCATGGAAGTACTAAGAGATGCCCCCACCAGAGAATTCCATAGTCCACCTTGCCTCCGCTCAGTATGCATTTTCCTCTTGAAGATTTGGATCAATCACTCCAGCCAGTAGAGTGAAACTTATTTCTTCTCCCTGTTGGTTAAGTGGTGCGAGCACTTCAGAATGGCCAAGTGGCAACATCATCTTTGCATTCGATGGCTCCACTGTTGTGCCTCCTGGTGACCACACTTCCCTCCTTGGAAACTAAGATCTTCAGATCAGCAGAGCCCAGAGTTGTAAGAATAGGAAGCAAAATTCTGTGCATGGGTTTTATGAGCCACTCCTACTTTCAGTCCTTCATTCCCAGACCCTTGTGTTCTAGCTATAGAGAAGATAGCACCATAGGTGTGGTCTCTGGTTCAAAGCATGTACTGTATCCTTAGACAAAGTATATGTGGCACCCAAGGACAGTGGTGAAGGAAAATCCTCCAATAAGCAGTACTTCAAGTCATATATTTGGTAGTCTACTTTGGAAAGAGAAAGATCCATTCTTTTAGGGAGTTGTCTCCCAACTCGTTCTAGAACTGAGCCTTCAGTAAGCCATTACGGATTTCAACAAGGCCAGACACTTCCAGCTGATGAGATATGTGTGGAGAATTGTTAATTCTATGGACGTGAGTCAACTGACATGCTTTCTTTGTATCAAATGAGTTTCCTTGATAAGAAGGATCAGAATGAGTTTTCTTATCATGGTACAGAGTGACTTGATCACAAATAAGTCATTTTGTGAGGCCAGGCACGGTGTCTCAGGCCTGTAATCCCAGCACTTTGGGAGGCTGAGGCAGGCAGATCACCTGAGGTCAGGAGGTCGAGACCAGCCTAGCCTGGCCAATATGGTGAAACCCTGTCTCTACTAAAAATATGAAAATTAGCCAGGCATGGTGGCAGGCACCTGTAATCCCAGCTACTCAGGAGGCTGAGGCAGGAGAATCGCTTGAACCCGGGAGGTGAAGGTTGCAGTGAGCTGAGATCTCACCACTGTGCTCCAGCCTGGATGACAGAGCGAGACTCTGTCTCAAGAAAAGAAAACAAAAAACAAGTCATTTTGTGAGTCCGTGGATAGTGGTGCTAGCAGGACGACTGTGGGTAGGGAAGTCAGATCCATATTCAGAATGCGTGTCTATTCTAGTGAAGGCAAATCTCTATTCCTTCGATGATGAATGAGGTCAGCATAATGAACCTGCCACCTGATAGCTGACTGATCCCCTTAGAAAACTGCCATTTCAGTGCTCAGTGTTGGTCTCTGCTGTCAGCAGATTAGGCACGCAGTGACACTGGCCCGGTCAGCCTTGGTAATGGAAAGTCCATACTATCAAGCTCATACATAGCTTCCATCTCTGCCACCATAGCCACTTTGTTCACGGGCCCGTTGAGGAAGCACTGGGTTTTCTGGGGAAAGTGCCTGGCTGATATACACAGAGTGTGTCATTTGTTTCAACTGATAGTCAAAAGCTTTCTCGTCTTCCTCTGTAGTGTGTGCTATCTGGTGAGAATTCACATGGGACACAAATATCTTCATCGTTTGTGCTTTTTCTTCCCCAGGTTTCCTGTTCACCAATCTTTCGATCCTGTTTTTTCTAAGTCTAACATTTGAGACCAACTATGCAACTGCTCATGTAATGAGTATAGAGCCATATGTCTGGCCAACTGTCTCTCCAAAGTAGACAGACTACCAATGAATTACTCAAAGATCTGACTACTAGAGAATTTTCTTTTTTGTCTTTTTTCTTTTTTCTTTTTTCTTTTTTTGAGATGGAGTCTCACTCTGTCACCTTGGCTGGAGTGTTGTGTTGTGTTCTTGGCTCACTGCAACCTCTGCCTCCTGGGTTCAAGCGATTCTTGTGCCTCAACCTCCTGAGTAGCTGGGACCACAAGCGTGTGCCACCACGCCCAGCTAATTTTTGTATTTGTAGTAAAGACTGAGTTTTGCCATGTTGGCCAGGCTGGTCTCGAACTCCTGGCCTCAAGTGATCTGCCTGCCTCAGCTTCCCAGGGTGCTGGGATTACAGGCGTGAGCCACCGCACCCAGCTTCAGAATTTTCTTTCACCACTGCCCTTCAGTGTCACCCTGATGGGTTACAACTGATCTTACCACTTCAGCCTCCCAACTAGCTGGGGCTACAGGTGCACACCACCATGCTTGGCTAATTTTTTTACTTTTGTAAAGATGGGGTCTCACTATGTTTCCCAGGCCGGTCTTGAACTCTGGACCTCAAGTGATCCACCTGCCCTCAGCCTCCCAAAGTGTTGGGATTACAGGAATGAGCCACACCCAGCCCAGAGGCATTTCTTTCAACTGCCCCCTGAACAGGAAAATTCACTCGCTAGCTCTCAACCTTCTCACCCTCCTCTATTCATCTGTCTTCATTCAAGGCAGAATCTTCTGAAACATCCTGCATTCTTCCCTTTTCAATGACTCCCACATTCCTTTTAGTTTCTAAACCAGGAGGATTTATTGGATCCGATCCTTCCTTTCCATTCATGCCACACTGCCCTGGCTAGGAAGGAGCCATTGAGATATTTGAGTAGGCTTAAAATAAACAGATCTAAGGACAGAGATTCATTTATCTGACTGTCCCAGGCAGAATTAATCCTTCTTCCCCTCTACTCCCTTATCACTTTTATTTCTCCTCTGTGATTGGATTTCTGACATTTTATCTAATGTCTATTTCTCTTCATATCCAGTTTGGGAATCCTTTTAGAAAAGGCTCAGTCATATTCAGTGCCCTTAATTCCTTATACACGGTCGAATTAAATGTTCACTGTTGAGTACTGTATGTAGTACTCCCTTACAGGCAACAGTAAACATTTGAATAACAATATGAATAAGTAGTATCTTTTCCAGCTCGTTTTGTCAGTATATTAAATTATATTTAAATGTTTAAAATATTAAATTCAGTTTTGTGCTAGCAATCTTGTAAGAAAAAATTTACAATCCAATATTTCACAGACTACAGCAACGCTGGTCACAAGGCTTTGGGGCCGTGTTTGTAGTAACTATTAACTACAAGATCCATGTGACTCCCATAGAATTCATGTTTATATTCCAAGAGAAATCAGAGTTACTCAGGATCAGCTGGATATGTACAAAAGAGTCACTTTTGAGGCCCACGATTGTTGTTAGATTAAAGGACTTGCTTAGCTGGGCATGGAGGTGTGTGCCTGTAGTCCCTAGGCTACTCAGGAGGCTGAGAGAGGGGGATGGCTTGAGCCTGGGAGGCAGAGGTTGCAGTGAGCTAAGATCGTGCCCCTGCGTGCCAGCCTGGGTGATAGAGTGACTCCTCCATCTCACACACACACAAAAAAACTTGAGATAATGATTCGGTTCCATGTATAGGTTGAGCACCCCAAATCCAAAATTCTGAAATCCAAAATGCTCCAAAATCTGAAATTTTTTGAGCACTAACATGATGTTCAAAGGAAATACTCACTGGAACATTTAGGACTTCAGATTTTGGATTTGGGATGCTCATCCAGTAAGCACAATGCAAATATTCCAATATCTGAAAAAATCCAAAATATGAAACACTTCTGGTGCCAAGCATTACAGATTCAACCTGTAATACATCAGCAACATCAATAATTAACATTTATTGAATTCTTAGTATGTGCCAGGCACTGTGCTAAGTGCTTTCTAAAGACTGTCTCAGTTATTCATCCTGACATTCCCATGATACAGGTCCTGTGTTGATTTTTCCTTTTACAGAAGCAGACATTGCCACACAGCTAACAAGTAGTGAAATGAAGATTCAAACCAAACTATTTAATATGAAACAAGTACTTCTCCCCTATCTCATGATGGCATAGACGATTTTTCCATTTCTAAAACAATCTGACATTTCTTTTCTAGTGTAAGGACGTTATCATGTTAAAATAAACTTTTACAAACACCCCCAAACCTGCCCATTGCCCCAGTCTGATTTAATCTAACCACTTCCTTCATCCCCTTGCAGCTTGCATAACTAAACACCATCACTTCCCCTTTTTTACACATTTTACTCCCTTGACCTTCCCCTTCTCCATTCATCTCTTCCTAGCTTATTTTTCTTTGCCATTCATAATACCTACTGTCAATCTGTCTTTTTGCAAACATTCTTTTTGCCCCTTTGTCTTTTGGTTGTACCCATCTGGAAATCCACAGTCCTATAACAAATTCAGATATCCATTATCTCTACGTTTAGACAGCTGAGCATTAGCGCAGAAATTGCACAACCAAGCAGAACATTATCTCTGTATGTTCTCAACCTACTGCTTCAACTGGATCCTCAATTCCAGCCAGGCAGTTGCTATGATGATCTGATCGTCACACATTTCCACTACCAGCAACGACTACTTCAGACTTTCTCCTCTCTTCTCAAACTTCATATAATTAACGCATGTCAGAAAATATTATTCTTTTGATTTTTTTCCCGTAACCATTCAAACATATAAAGACAATTCTTAGCTTGCGGGCTATACAGAAACATATGGCCAGCCCAAGGGCCAGAGTTTATGCCTTGTTCTAGGTGTTCTCGTCACCCTTACAACCTTAATTACTATCTACACATGATAATTCCAAATTTAAACCTGGAGCTCAAATACATTTTTAAAGTTCGAAACGCACATGCTCAACTGGTTTCTCAACCTCTCCTCTTGGGTGTCTCACTGGGTCCTTAAAATCAGCATATCCCAAGATGACCCCAACTCCTCCCTCACTCCACAAATCCAAACAAGCACCAGGTTCTGCTGAGTCTACATCCTGTCTATTTCTTGTAACCATTCTATTCTTACCATTCACTCTGCAATCATTCCAATCCATGCCATCTTCATCATTTGCTCTATTGCAACTGCTTCCTGATTGGTCTCCTAATATCTCCCCGTCCCCTTGCAACCCATTGCAGCCAGTCTAATATTTAAAAACACAAATTTGATAGGATTACTTTCCTGCTTCAAGCACTTTTGCCACTTTGCCAAAAAGTCTTTAACTCATTAAAGCCTGCAGGTTGCCACAGGGTCTACCCAACTCTTGTTCCTCCCTCCTCACCTTGGGCCTCTCACCTTCTTTTCTCTCTCTCTTTTTCTTTCTTTCTCTCTCTTTTTCTTTCTTTCTTTCTCTTTCTTTTTTTTTCTTTCTCTTTCCTTCCTTCCTTCCTTCTGTCTGTCCTTCCTTCCTTCCTGCCTGCCTGCCTGCCTTCCTTTCTTTCTTTCTTTGTGGGGCAGCATGGTGGACACCTTCTTACTCTGTTGCTCAGGCTGGAGTGCAGTGGCGCAATCACAGCTCACTGCTGCCTCAACCTCCTGGGCTAAAGCAATTCTCCTGCCTCAGCCTCCTGAGTAGCTAAGACCACAGGTGTGTGCCACCACACTTGGCTAATTTTATTTTTATTTTTTGTAAAGACAGGTTCTCCCTATGTAGCTCAGGGTGGTCTTGAACTCCTGGCCTCAAGCAATCCTCCTGCCTTGGCCTCCCAAAGTGCTGGGATTATAGGCATGAGCCACCACACCCAGCTTGCACCTCCTCCCTTGTTACTCCAGCCATCCTGGTACTATAACGGTCTATACATTTTAAGCCTTCTCTAAGAAATCCTTCCCTACCCTGAGACCATAAAAATATTCTCCCATATTTTCTATTAATTGTTTTTCTGGTTTTGATTTACCATTTTAACATATCTGAAAATTATTTGTGGGGAGCGGCATAAGCAATACATCTAATATTATCTTTATCCATTTGGATAGCTAATGTTTCCAGTACCATTTATTGAATAGTGCTGATTTTTAGTGCTATTTCCTTCTCAGTCCAAGTTCCTTGGGTCAGTTTCTAAGCTATTATTTTCCATTAGTCTATTTTTTTAATAGCAATAGCATCATTTCAGTTATTATGCTCAAAATGTTCTTGGCTATTTTTGGTCCTTGCACTTGCCAATTAGTACTAGGTTTAGCTTGTAAGGTTCTGATAAGAATTCGGCTGTGATTTTTACTGGATGATGTCAATAAAAAGTTAGCACTCCCCTTCAGTGGATAATATCAAAAAGCCATAAGAAGAATGAGAAGTAGAAACTCTAACTTTATTGAAACTAGAAGAAATAGAAACTGTAAACCACAAAGTATGTGAAGGAGCTTCCAAAGCAGCAAAGATCAAACAGTGTTGCATGTGGGAAGAAGCAGGCAGGGGATATTGATTTCCACAAATCTCAGAAAGAGCCAGCAAAGTCGACTTCTCCAAGGTGAGAGGACACTCTTAGAGGAACAAAAGCACAAGTCCTGGCTTATTTTTATAGCAGTGCGATCAGAATGCCTGAACTGACAGAAAGAATGTCTATGGACCTGGTTTGGTTCCAAAGAAGCAAAGGCAAAGAGGCTAAATGAGCAAACTCACGGATAAGTTGGATGTATAACTCCCAACCAAAAATCTACTGCAAACATGTTATTCTTTTTCTTTTTGAGACGGAGTCTTGCCCTGTTGCCAAGGCTGGAGTGCAGTGGCGTGATCTTGGTTGGCTCACTGCAAGTCCCGCCTCCCGGGTTCACGCCGTTCTCCTGCCTCAGCCTCCTGAGTAGCTGGGACTACAGGCACCTGCCACCACGCCCACCTAATTTCTTTTTTCTTTTTTCTTTTTTTTTTGTATTTTTAGTAGAGATGGGGTTTCACTGTGTTAGCCAGGATGGTCTCAATCTCCTGACCTCGTGATCCGCCCATCTCGGCCTCCCAAAGTGCTGGGATTACAGGCATGAGCCACCATGCCTGGCCCAAACATGTTATTCTTAAAGATGAAATCTCAGAAGTATTTTATTTAAAGTAATAAGGATGACATTACCACTTTCATATTCAACATTTTAAAGGAAACTGTAGCCAGCTCGATAAGGCAAGAAAAAGAAAAAAGCTATAAGAGTTGAAAGAGAAAGACCTTTTCTGTCAAAAGTAGAAATTAGGACAGGAGGAGAGGATACACCAGATTTATCAAATCTTTGCCTCTACTTTTTAGGCAGTTCTTAGGCAATTTCTTCACAATTACCATGAGCACCAAAATAATGTTATCAACAACTACTTACACTTAACTATGAGTTTAACTTATTTCTCTGCTTGCTATGTTTTCTTATATTCCATTTATCTCTTTCTTAAATTAATATTTTATAAAATTAGAGTACATATTTGGGTAATTATTAATAAATGTTCTGAAAGTAGTATACACTATTTGAGCTCTTATATTTGTTTTCACTCTTGAATGATAGATTTGTTGGGTACATAATTCTGAATTTAAGATAATCTCCCTTGGAACTTTGCTCTGATCACTTTTTGTATCAAATGTCACTAATGAGGACTCTGTTACTAATTAGATCTTTTTCCTTTCTAGATAATCTATTTGCTATATAATCTTTTAGGATTTTTTTTTCTTTGACTTTGAAGACTTGAAATTTTATCAGAAAGTATCTAATGTGTGGATTTCTTTTAAAAATTAACTGTCTGACACTCAATAGTTACTTTAAAAGACAAGCTCAATGGCACATGCCTATAATACCAGCTGCTCAGGAGGCTGAGGTGGGTGGATAATTTGAGCCCAGAAGTTCAAGACCAGCCTGGGCAACATAGAAAGACTCCACCTCAAGTTAAAAAAAAAAAGGCACTTTTAATCAGAAGATTCAAATTTTTCTTTAGCTCTTGAAAACGGTTTTCTAAATTTTTTTGATAGGTCCTCTTTCATTCAAATAGAGGTACTGGGCCTTGGATATTGGCAGTGAACTCTGGCTCCTGCCAGAATAGACACATCTGTCCACGTGGCCTTGAGTTTCAGCAACAATATCCAGTTAACAGCTTTGGTGGCAACAACTGTAGCATCGCAGCTGGCACTGCAGCACCAAGGGAGGCCCTGGGGCCTTTCCACCTGAAGGCAGCTTGTTCTGCTCATCAGAACAAGTGGGGATTCTGGAACTGCTATTTGCACCTCAAATAGTAAAGCCAGATCCCCACCCTCTAGCCCACCAAGCTACAGTATATAAAAACCAAAAAACAATACCTAAAATGTTCATTTATCTCAGGATGTGTATTAGTTTCATATGGCTGTTGTAATAGATTACCAAAAATTCGGTGGCTGGTTTTGATTGTTTGTTTGTTTGTTTTTGAGATGGAGTCTCGCTCTTGTCACCCAGGCTGGAGTGCGATGGCGCGATCTTGGCTCACTGAAACTTCCGCCTCCTGGGTTCAAGCCATTCTCCTGCCTTAGCCTCCAGAGTAGCTGGGATTACAGGTGCACACCACCACACTCGGCTAATTTTTGTACTTTTTTTAGTAGAGACGAAGTTTCACCGCATCGGCCAGGCTGACCTCGAACTCCTGACCTCAGGTGATCTGCCCGCCTCGGCCTCTGAAAGTGCTAGGATTACAGGCGTGAGCCACGGCACCCAGCCTCAGTGGCTGTTTTAACACAAATTTATGATCTTACCGTTCTATGGGTCAGAAGTCTGACGTGGGTCTCACTGGACTAAATTCAAGGCATTGGCAGGGCTGCAGTCCTAACTGGAGGGTCTAGGGAGCATGTTTCCTCATCTTTTCTAGCTTCTAGAGGCTGCCCACATACTTTGGCACCTGGTCATCTTTCTCCATCTTCAAACCCAACAACATCGCATCTCTCTGACTGTTCTTCCCTCATCCCATCTTCCTCTGACCACGGCAGGAAAGTTTCTGTTTTTAAGGAACAATGTGATAAGACTCGGCCCAACTTTACTTCTTATTCCCAAATTAGTCAACAAAGAATTTGAGAAATGGATTCTGAAACTCATGTTACCAACATTCATGAATGACTTTTGTTTTTGTTTGTTTGTTTGTTTTTTGAGATGGCCTCACTCTGTTGCCCAGGCTGGAGTGCAGTGGTGCGATCTCGGCTCACTGAAACCTCTGTCTCCCAGGTTCAAGCAATTCTCCTGCCTTAGCCTCCAGAGTAGCTGGGATTACAGGTGCCCGCCACCACGCCAGGCTAATTTTTTTTTTTGTATTTTTAGTATTTTCTAGTAGAGATGTGGTTTTACCATGTTGGCTAGGCTGGTCTCGAACTCCTGGCCTCAGGTGATCCATCCACCTCGGCCTCCCAAAGTGCTGGGATGACAGACGTGAGCCACCACACCCAGCCTTGAATGACTTATTTTTTTATGGCCTTATGTGTAGGGATTTTGTAAGGGACCACAGGGTCAAGATTAGGGTGAGACATGTGAAACACCTGGGGTATACAACTCAAGAAGGTGTTCACGTTCAGGGTCAGCACTCACATAACCCTGAGAGTGAATGCCTCATCACTTGACCCTAGTCCTGCCCTGATACACAATAAACCTGCACATAAATCGTTAATACAGAAATAGTGTTACTCTAAGAGTGTGATGCAAGTTATTCAAATAGCAGATTCAGGCATCACATATCACCAATGAAGTGGCACTGTACAAGTAAGTTTTAGGAAAATATGTGCTTTACCTTAAGTGATAGATGCCTTACATTGAAACATTACAGACCCAAATATTGTTAAGCCAAACATACACCTCTGCAGTCTGGGGTTAGCGTTAGCAAAGCAGGCTATAACAAATTAAATTGTAAGACTAATAATAATGATTTAAAAACAAGAAAAGCAATTGAAAACAAAACCAACTCAGCATCACACTGATAAAAAAGTGCCCTTATGGAGTTCCAATGAGATCCATTCATGTGTGTATGCAGTAGGAGCTTCATGAGATTGGCAAGTTTAATAAGAAGCCAGACTCAGCAATGGGATATTGAATATAAACCCTAGTAATGCATTGATTTTAATTTTTGAAAACGAAATTATACTTTCCTTTACTATTTAGTAATTAGTTACTAAATAATAATTAGTTACTAAATAGTAAAGACTATTACTGTTAGTAATAGTAATAGTAAATAGTGAAGACTCCTCAGTTGCCATAAAAATTAGTCTATTCAGTTCCACATTATATCACCATAAGAAAAGAGGAATATGTGGATCGCTTTGCTGCCAAAAAGGATCCTCAAGGTATACTAGGCTGGGCATAGTGGCTCATGTCTGTAATCCCAGCACTTTGGGAGGCCGAGGAGGGCGGATCACCTGAGGTGAGGAGTTCAAGACCAGCCTGGCCAACATGGCAAAAACACATCTCTACTAAAAAATACACAAATTAGCTGGGCATGGTGGCAGGCACCTGTAATTCCAGCTACTCAGGAGGCTGAGGCAGGAGAATCACTGGAACCCGGGAGGCAGAGGTTGCACTGAGCCGAGATTGTGCCACTGCATTCCAGCCTGGGTGACAAGACGAAACTCCGTCTCAAAAAAAACAAAAAAAAAAAAGGTATATTAGTTGACTACTGACCACCCTTTGACAAGATGAGGTAAAGGTGAAAATGGAAAAGGTGAATACTGTTTGGAGTGCTCAGTTCAGTGGTGTCTGGCATATTCACACATAAGGGCAACCAGCACAATGTGTTTAGAACATTTTCATCACCTGAAAAAGAAACTCGTGCCCCTTAGCTATCATTCTATTCTTCTCTCCCCTCTCCTCTTTCCCCATTCCCATCCCTACCACCCAGCCCTAAATAAGCACTAAATTAATTTCTGTTCCAGAGAGTTCTCTATTCTGAATTTTCATATAAATAGGATTATATAATATGTGACCTTTAAAAACTGGCTTCTTTCACTTAGCATAATATTTTCAAGGTACATCCATGTTGTAACATGTATCAGTACTACTTTTTTTTTTTTTTTTGAGACGGAGTCTCGCTCTGTCCCCCAAGCTGGAGTGCAGTGGCGCGATCTCTGCTCACTGCAAGCTCCGCTTCCCGGGTTCACGCCATTCTCCTGCCTCAGCCTCCTGAGTAGCTGGGACTACAGGCGCCTGCCACCACGCCTGGCTAATTTTTGTATTTTTAGTAGAGATGGGGTTTCACCGTGTTAGCCAAGATGATCTCGATCTCCTGACCTTGTGATCCGCCTGCCTCAGCCTCCCAAAGTGCTGGGATTACAGGCGTGAGCCACCGCGCCTGGCCTATCAGTACTACATTTTTAATGGCTAAATAATATTTCATTGTATATCACGTTTTGTTTGTCCATTCAATAGTTGATAGACATTTGAATTGTTTCCACTTTTAAGCTAGTATGAATAATGCTACTATAAACATTCATGTAAAAATGTTTGTGTGGACATTTGCTTTCATTTCTTTTAGGTATACAACTAGGAACAGAATTTCTGGGTCATGTTCTTGCTTAACTGAGGAACTGCCAGACTGTTTTCCAAAGGGGCTGTACCATTTTACATTCCAACCAGCAATGCACGAGGATTTCAATTTCTCTACATCCCTGTCAGCACTTGTTATTATCTAACTTTTTAATTCTAGCCATCCTAGTGGATGTAAATTGGTATCTCACTGTGGCTTTGATTTAAATTTCCCTGATAACTAACTATGTCAAACATCTATCTATTTATGCGTTTATTTGCCATTTGTGTATCTACTCAGCAGAAATGCTTTGCCCACTTTTCAATCGGGTTACTTGTCTCATTATTGAATTGTAAGAGTTCTTTATATATTCTGGATACAAGCCCCTTATTAGATACATGATACTATGATATGCAAATACTTTCTTTCATTCTGTGGGTTGTCTTCTTTTCATTTTTTTTTTTTTGGAGACAGAGTCTCGCTCTGTGTCCCAGGCTGGAGTACAGCGGCACGATCTCGGCTCACTGCAACCTCTGCCTCCTGGGTTCAAGCAATTCTCTTGCCTCAGCCTCCCAAGTAGCTGACATTACAGGCACGGGCCACCACGCCCAGCTAATTTTGTGTATTTTTAGTAGAGATGGGGTTTCACCATGTTGGCCAGACTGGTCTCAAACTCCTGACCTCAGGTGATTCACCCATCTCAGCCTCCCAAAATTCTGGGATTACAGGCATGAACCACTGTACCCAGCCTTATTTTTTATTTTTTTTGAGGCAGAGTCTTGCTCTGTTGCCCAGGCTGGAGTGCAGTGGCACGTTCTTGGCTCATTGCAACCTCTGCCTCCCGGGTTCAAGCAATTCTCCTACCTCAACCTCCCAAGTAGCTGGGACTATAGGCATGCACCACCAACACCGGGCTAATTTTTGTATTTTTTGGTAGAGACAGAGTTTCACCATGTTGGCCAGGCTGGTCTCAAACTCCTGACCTCAAGTAATCCGCCCACCTCAGCCTCCCAAAGTGCTGGGATTACAGTCATGAGTCACCGCACCTGGTTTGTCTTTTCTTAATTGTATCTTTTGAAGCACAACAGTTGTTAATTTTGATGAAGTCAAATCTTTTATTTTGTCACTTGCATTTTTGGTGTCCTATCTAAGAAACTATTGCTTAACCCAAGGTCATGAAGATTTATTGACTCCTATGTTTTCTTCTGTAAGTTTTACTGTTAGCTCTCGTATTTAGATCTTTGATCCATTTTGACTTAATTTTTGTTAAAGATACGAGGTAGAGATCCCAATTCATTCTTTTTTATGTGGATATTCCATTATTTCTGTGTTATTTGTTGAAAAGACTATTCTTTCCTGCATCAAATTGTCATGGAAACCTTGTTGAAAATCAATTGACCATAGTTATCTATATCGGGGTGTCTAATCTTTTGGCTTCCTGGGCCACATTGGAAGAAGAATTGTCTTGGGCCACACAGAAAATACACTAACACTAATGATAGCTGATGAGCTAAAAAAAAAAAAAAAAATTTGCAAAAAAACTCATGATGTTTTAAGAAAGTTTACAAATTTGTGTTGGGCTGCATTCAAAGTCACCATGGGCCACGGGTTGGACAGGCTTGATCTATGTCATTGGTACTGTTATGTCAATACCACATTGTCTTGATTACTGTAGCTTTATGGTAGGTTTTAAGATCAGTAAGTGTGAGTTCTTCATTTTTGTCCTTTTTAAAGATTGTTTGGCTATTTTGGAGTCACTGGCTTTTTAAACTTTATCTATTCCTTTCTTTCTATTAAACATAACTGAAGCGCCCTTTCTGTTTTCCTTTCAATTTCCACAAGCCTTAGTTCATTTAGGACCATAATTTGCTCCCAATACTTACATGGGTTCATGCTATTTATTTTTATTTTTATGCCATCTGTCTCTACCATTTTGGAACAGAGATGATCAAATAGCCCCTGTGTCTAATTTCTTTTTGGAGTCATTGGTCTCGATGTTGTTTGATTCTTGTTCTTTAGAACCTCCCATTCCTCTTGGGCCATCTTTCTTAAAATCATACCCTAGGCTTTTTGTCTTCATTGTTATGGGCACTTGTTTGCTAATGGACCCTGACTCTGCATGCACCTGTTGAGGGAAGAGGTGCCAGGACCACATGCTTAAGAGCACTCTCTCTCTCATATAACCTGTGGCCTGGAAAAGAGACACGGTGTGGTTAGCTACAAAGACCAGATTATGTGATCTATCTAGGCTCCTCCATTCTGAAAATGTTGGCCAGAAGCTGTAAGAGAATCCTATAAAAACGAACTGCATTTTCCCTAAATCTGTGGGCTATCTATTCTAGACAGAATCCATTCACTGATAGTGCAAAGAAGTACAAAGATGCCCTCCAATCAGCCTTCCTTCTAGTTGTAATTATGGCAAGACACCAGAATATTATGATACAAATTCCCTCTCTTCTTCAAGGTCTGGGGCTCCTTTGCACACAGTCTGCTGAATACTCACATTTTTAGCAGAGTCCGAGACTGACCAAAGTGTTGTCTGAGAGCTGGTCAGAGGTCTGGGCAATCTCTGAGTCACCTGGGACCCCAGTGACTTCTTATTTCTTCCCATCCTTCTGTGACTTCCTAAAAAGATAGGAAGGAACTAAAACATAAGACATTCAACAGCTTTCTTATAATAATCTCCAAGAAATATAATAAGAAAAGATCCCACTAACATAAAATACATCTAAACAATTTAAACAAGAAATGTTCAAGATAAAAGTCAAGGTGGGGAAAAAATGTTCAGCTTATGTAACTGATAAAGGTTTAATCACCTTTTTATATAAAGTGGCCAATTACAAATCAATAAGAGAGGACTGTCTTTATAAAAAATTGTGGGATGAGGAGGAGTTGGATGCTAGTCCAGACTATTTCACAGTTGCCACCAAGGGAAACTCGAGGAAAGAAGAAGGAGACGGTGAAGTGGCAGATTTAGTATTTATGTGAAACTATACAGTCGTCCTTCAGTATATGGGGGGATTGTTTCCAGGACCCCCACATATACCAAAATCCATGCACACTCAAGTCCTTCCCTAAGGAACTCAGCATAGGAAAAGTCAGCCCTTCCTATATGTGGATTTCACATCCCACAAATACTGTATTTTCCATCGACCTTTGGTTGAAAAAATTTCCGGTATAAGTGGATCCACTCAATTCAAATCCACACTATCGAAGGGTGAATTATAATTAAAAGAAAACCCTATAGGACCAATCTCCTCAACTCCACCTATGTTTTGGGAAGAAGTGGAAGAATGTTGGGATCTCTTCTCTTCCTCTACAAAATAAGTATAAAACATGCTTTTTTTTTTTGAGACGGAGTTTTGCTCCTGTTGCCCAGGCTGGAGCGCAATGGCACAATCTGGGCTCACTGCAACCTCCACCTCCCAGGCTTAAGTGATTCTCCTGCCTCAGCCTCCCAGGTAGCTGGGATTATACGCATGCGCCACCACGCCCAGCTAATTTTTTGTATTTAGTGGAGACGGGGTTTCTCCATGTTGGCCAGGCTGTTATTGAACACCAGCGAACACCAAAACAAACCACTGGGGAACCACTTATTCCTTGATCCACCTCCATGAATCTTTTACTTAATGAGGCATGGAAATTGAATGCATTAAAGACACAATTTTTAGAATGTAACGTATTAGCCTTAAAATATGATTTAATATCCATAATAAGAATTCAAACACACAAACCACTCAGCTGAATTTCTAAAACACATTACAGGAAAATTATTGGCTACCCCTCCCTGCAGAGTACACGCCTATAATCCCAGCTACTCAAGGGCTGAGACAGAATTGCTTGAACCTGGGAGGTGGAGGTTGCAGTGAGCTGAGATTGCATCACTGCACTCCAGACTGGGCGACAGAGTGAGACTCTGTCTTAAAAAATAAAATAAAATAAAATAAAAATAGAGATGGGATCTTGCTATATTGCCCAGGCTGATCTCCTACTCCTAGGCTCAAATGATCCTCCCACCTAGGTCTCCCAAAATACTGGGATTACAGGTGTGAGCCACCCTGCTCAGCCCAAAACGTGCATTCTAAGATCATCATCAAAAGGTATAGTTTCTTGTACCTCTGCAGTTCTCAGAGTATGGTTCCTAGAGCAGTCAGCACTGGGAACTTGGAAATGAAATTATCTGGCCCCTCCCCAGACCCGCAGAATCAGAAACTCTGCAGGGAGGGGTAGCCATCTGCGTTCTCAAGCCTAGGTGATTCTGAGGTATGCTAGCCTTTGAGAACACCTGTCATAGGGAAATAATTTTCCTGTAATGTGTTTTAGAAATTCAGCTAAGTAGTTTGTGTGTTTGAATCCTTATTATAGACATTAAATCATATTTAAAGGCTAATATATTACATTCTAAAAATTAAGTCTTTAATGCATTCGATTTCCATGACTCATTAAGTAAAAGATTCACAGAGGTGGATCAAGGAATAGGTGGTTCCCTAATGGTTTGTTTTGTTGGTTCGTTGGTGTCTAAAGAAAAACAGTCCATGGAAGAGCCAACAGCAAAGAGAACAAATACACAAATTCCCATGTCCTGCAGGAAGAACTCGGCTTGTTTAGGGACCCTCCACAATTCCCCGACTGATTCCAACCACTTCTGTCTCTCTCCTCATGAACCCTGTAGATGCCCCTGGATCCACAAACCAAGAAATCTCAGTTAGGAGTCTTAGAGCTGTGAAGTGGATTTTTCAGGAAAATATTCACAAAGGCTGCCACGGTAACACTTTCTCCTTTTTTTTTTCTCTCTCCATTGGAACTTCCATTTTCACCATTAGAATAAAGAGAGGGAATGAAAGAATGACAGTATCTGTCTGGAATGATCACGGAAATGATTGCGCCTGGGTCATAAAGCAAATGATCAAGAATTAATAGCTCTGAATACATGCCAGTAGATTTGCAGTAATTATTTCATCTTATAGATTTAGAGCCTTAGAATCCTCCTCATTTTATAGATAGGGAAACTGAGGCTCTGAGAAAGAAAATGACAAGCCCGTGAGGTGCTAGTGAGAGGCAGGACCAGGAACAGAACGTGGCCATCTGACTCGGAGCCCAGGGCTTTGTCACCGCAACCTGCCTCCCTTAAGTCTCTGCCTCCTGCAGTAATAGCTAGATGGAACGCAGAAAGCCCTCCAAGTCCTAGGAACACACTATACATGGTAGCATTTGACTAGCCTTCCCTGCTCACACACACACACACACAAACATATTTGCTTGATGTGGAACAAGTTACAAAATTCTTTGGTGTACTTCTCAGTTCATGCGTCATCTTAATGTATAGACGGGCGTGAAAATAACCTCCTGTTTGTGAACCACAAGAGAGATTTCCTCTGGTTTTGCCCTCGGTGCCTTCAGAGAAAGAGTCTATGGGAAAGCCCCTCCTCGCTTCCCCTCTCTCTTCCTTTTGGACCTAGAAGCTGAGAACTCATTTTTCTTAGTCAGTCATTTTCACAGCCCAGTCTATGAAGAATGCTACTGCGTGATAAAATCCTCACTGAACTTCGGCAAAATGAGAAAAAGGGACGATGTAGCAAGTTTTTCATAAAGCCATGTTTCCGAAGTTTAAAGGACTGTCCTTTGTTTGAAATGAAGTCCTTCCTCTTTTGTCTGTATGTTAAAATACCATATTTAGAAATGAAATGATAGAAATAGATGATGGAAGTCACTTAATTAAATGGAAAAACCAAAAAGTTGGCCATTATATATTTGTTAATCTTCTTAATATTTCTAATCCATGAGATTCAAATGTCTATGAGAACAGGGCCAGGTATAGTGGCTCACGCCTGTAATGCCAGCACTTTGGGAGGCTGAGGAGGGCGAACCATCTGAGGTTGGGAGTTTGAGACCAGCCTGGCCAACATGGTAAAACCTCATCTCTACTAAAAATACAAAAATTAGCTGGGCATAGTGGCATATGTCTGTAATCCCAGCCACTCGGGAGGCTGAGGCAGGAGAATCGCTTGAACCTGGGAGGCAGAGGTTACAGTGAGCCAAGATCATGCCACTGCACTCCAGCCTGGCCAACGGAGCGAGACTCTGTCTCCAAAAAAAAAAAAAGTCTATGAGAAATGTCTTTAAGCCATTGCTTTTTTAAAAAGTGCTTCTTACCCATATGTGAAGAGCAAGTTTTTTCTTTCCAATCAGTTGTACAGTAACATTATTATAAAATATAATGAAAAGGATTAATTTTAAAAAAACCAAAATGCTGCCTGGATGTTGCAGTAATGTCAGATTGTTATAAAAGTTCCCCAATCTGCCCAATTTCTTCATTTTCTTACTGCAGACTATCGGTTAAATAGTTGGGAAAACAGCCCCCATCTGTAGGACACACCTGCAGTACATGAAGTTAGAACATCACACTCTTTGTAACACCAGACTCTGCAAGGATGTGATGAGAAAAGATATGGCCCAATCCATTTGGAAAATGCTGAGAAAATAATGCAGAAATTTCAGAGCCATTCATCTGGTGATACAGGGAGCAACATGCAATCTTTTTTGAACTTATTTGAACATAGAACAACCACCCCTATTTTTAGTAGTTCATCTCGTTCATGTCTTTCTCTTAACTCTCGTGTTTCATAGATCGCAGTTTGGGAAACCATGCTCTGAAACATAACAGCTGCCTGTTTTCTAGGAGAGAACATTGATGGCACACCCCCTAAGCCAGCTTTGCATTTAGAACACTGGGATGGGCCACACTGCAGAATGTGGATGTGTCTGTGTGCCCACATCTCTTCCTATAACTTTACTTCATCAAGAAGCAAAACTGGCAGGCGCGGTGACTCACGCCTGTAATCCCAGCACTTTGGGAGGCCGAGGCGGGTGGATCACGAGGTCAGGAGATCAAGACCATCCTGGCCACCATAGTAAACCTCGTTTCTACTAAAAATACAAAAATTAGCTGGACATGGTGGCACGTGCCTGTAATCCCAGCTACTCGGGAGGCTGAGGCAGGAGAATCACTTGAACCAGGGAGTCAGAGGTTGCACTGAGCTGAGATCGCACTACTGCACTCCAGCCTGGTGACAGAGCAGGACTCCATCTCAATAAATAAATAAATAAATAAATAAATAAATAAATAAATAAATTTGAAGGGTTTTTTTAGACCAAGGATTTGCAAACTATAGCTCATGGTCCAAATCCAACCTGCCACCTGTTCTTGTAAATAAAGTTTAATTGGGAGGCAGCCAAGCTCACTGGTTTCCTTTTTGGCTGCTTCTACAGGATGGCCTTCAGAGTCAGAAATATTTATCTGGTCAACCCCTGCTCTTGCTTCATTTAGACACATTTTTTAAAAATCATACTTTACTTTTTATTTACACACAAGATTGATATAAATGAAATAAATTGGTCATTTCTTCACAACAAATATGCAAGAAAACATGGATTTGTGGTCATTTCTCTAAAAACAAATATTTGCTCTACTAAATTCAAATTTTGGCCCTGCTGATTTGTTTTCTGTGCCCTTTTCATTTCACTGCCAAATCATAGTGTCATCTTTTTGAAAATATTTTAAATAGGCTCAGCAATAAAGACCGGCTTCTCACATGGGATCACTGCTAGGGCTGGAGTCCTCTGACAATTCTATAGGGGAGGAAAGACATTTTTTTCCTATACCCTTCATAATTTTTAGGTGCCCTCCCCAGCATAATGAAAGATGGATTAACAACAGAAGAGCTGACATTTATTAACATGTATACATACCCACACCCAGAAGATACCCAGGGAAAAATGAATGACTCTCAGAGAGATGGCTTAGAACTCAGGCTTTAACACCATCTTCATCTCAAAGGAAATTGACGGAGGCAAGTTATGGAGAGGTTGAGCAGGAAAAGCACAGTAAGCAATGGTAAATTTCATCATGCAAATTTAAAAGTCAGCGCCTTCTCCATTGATGGGCATCTTTATTGATTTAATCCTCCTCTTTCTGGTGCAGAGGGAAACATCCTTATAAATGGAGATTTCCTTACGTGTAAAATTCTCTTACAAAAAGGTAACTTCAGCAGGGCGCGGTGGCTCATGCCTATAATCTCAGCACTTTGGGAGACCGAGGCTGGTGGATCATGAGGTCAGGAATTCGAGACCAGCCAGACCAACATGGTGAAACCCCGTCTCTACTAAAAATACAAAAATTAGCCGGGCGTGGTGGCGGGCGCCTGTAATCCCAGCTACTCAGGAGGCTGAGACAGAAGAATCGCTTGAACTCGGGAGGCGGAGGTTGCAGTGAGCTGAGATTGCGCCACTGCACTCCAGCCCGGGTGACAGAGCAAGACTCCATCTCAAAAAAAAAAAAAAAGGGGGGGGGGGTAACTTCTACTCTGTTTTCAGAGCTTGTCCTGTGTCTCCTGTTTCTCACTCAATCCTTATGCCAAGGAGGCATATTTTGGGGTGGCATATTCTGGTCTCCTGTGGTCACAAGATGGCCTCGTGACAGTCTGTCAGTTGGCACTGGCTGTCTACTGGGGCCTGTCAGTTCTCCACAAGGCCTCTCATCCTCTAGGCTTGAGTGGGCTTCCTCACACCAATGTTCCAAGAGAGCAGGCGCCACGTGTAAGAAAGGGCTTACCAAGCCTCTGCTTGCAACCTATTTGCCGATGGCTCATTGGCTAAAGCGAGTCACGCAGTCAAGGCCAGCAGTGATGCAAGAGGGGTCTCCTCAGGACATAGCTACTTGGAGGCGATTCACCTGTTCACCATGATATTGGAGGTGTTCACTATGATAATGTTACCATCTATCATAAGAAGGGAAGGAGGGGCCGGGCGAGGTGGCTAATGCCTGTAATCCCAGCACTTCGGGAGGCCGAAGTGGGCGGATCACGGGGTCAGGAAATCGAGACCATCCTGGCGAACACGGTGAAACCCCGTGTCTACTAAAAATACAAAAAAAGTAGCCGGACGTGGTGGTAGGAGCCTGTAATCCCAGCTACTCCGCAGGCTGAGGCAGGAGAATTGCTTGAATCTGGGAGGCGGAGCTTGCAGTAAGCAAAGATCGCACCACTGCACTCCAGCCTAGGCGACAGAGCTAGACTGCAGAAGAAAAAGAGAAAGAGAGGGGAGAAGGTGAGGAGGGGGAGAGGAGAGGGAGAGAGGGAGAGAGGGGGAGAGGAAGAGAGAGGGGAAGAGGGGGAGACGGGGAGAGGGGGAGGTGGCTCATGCCTGTAATCCCAGAGAGAGGTGACAGCTGCTGGCAGCCCTCGCTTGCTCTTGGTGCCTCCTCGGCCTCGGCGTCCGCTCTGGCCATGCTCAGGGAGCCCTTCAGCCCGCCTCTGCGCTGTCGGGGCCCCTCTCTGGGCTGGTTGAGGCCGGAGCCGGCTCCCTCAGCCTGCTGGGAGGTGTGGAGGGAGAGGCACGGAAAGGAACTGGAGCTGCGCGCGGCGCTTGCCGGCCAGCTAGAGTTCCGGGTGGGCGTGGGCTTGGCTGGCCCCGCACTCGGAGCGGCCGGGCGACCCCGCCGGCCTTGGGCAGTGAGGGGCTTAGCCCCCAGGCCAGTAGATGTGGAGGGTGCACGGGGTCCCCCAGCAGTGCCGGCCCACCGAGGCTGCGCTCGATTTCTCGCCAGGCCTTAGCTGCCTCCCCGCGGGGCAGGGCTCAGGACCTGCAGCCCGCCATGCGTGAGCCTCCCCTGCCCCACGCTGTCGGCTCCTGCAAGGCCCGAGCCTCCCCGACGAGCGTGGCTCTCTGCTCCGAGGCGCCCAGTCCCATTGAGGACCCAAGAGCAGAGGAGTGCGGGCGCAGGGAGCGAGACTGGCAGGCAGCTCCACCTGCGGCCCCAGTGCGGGATCCACTGGGTGAAGCTAGCTGGGCTACCCAGTCTAGTGGGGACTTGGAGAACCTCTATGTCTAGTCAAGGGAGGGTAAACACACCAATCAGCACTCTGTGTCTAGCTCGGGGTTTGTGGATGCACCAGTGGGCACTCTGTATTTAGCTAATCTGGTGGGGACTTGGAGAATCTTTATGTCTAGCTAAGGGATTGTGAATACAGCAATTGGCACTCTGTATCTAGCTCAAGGTTTGTAAATGCACCAATCAGCACCCTGTGTCTATTTCAAGGTTTGTAAATGCACCAATCTGCACTCTGTGTCTAGCTGATCTGGTGGGGACTTGGAGAACCTTTATGCCTAGCTAAGGGATTGTGAATGCACCAATCAGCACTCTGTGTCTAGCTCGGGGTTTGTAAATGCACCACTCAGCACCCTGTGTCTAGCTCAAGGTTTGTAAATGCACCAGTCAGTGCTCTGTGTCTAGCTAATCTAGTGGGGACTTAGAGAACTTTTGTGTCTAGCTCAAGGTTTGTAAACGCACCAATCAGCACCCTGTCAAAACGGACCAATCAGTTGTCTGTAAAACAGACCAATTGGCTCTCTGTAAAATGGACCAATCAGTAGGATGTGGGTGGGGCCAGATAAGAGAATAAAAGCAGGCCGCCGGAGCAGGCGGTGGCCATTTGGTGAGGTTGTGTTATGTGGTGTGGGTGGTTTGTTTTTACTTTGTAATGAATTTTACTGTTGCTCAATGTTTGGGTCAACACTGCCTTTGTGAGTTATAACACTCACTGCGAAGGTTTGCAGTTTCAATAATGAAGCCAGTGAGACTGTAAACCCACTGGGAGCAACTAATAATGCGTCGCCCTAACAGCTGGGACGCCCACCACAAAGGTCTGTAGCTTCAGTCCTGAGCTAGAGACCACGAACCCACTAAAAGCAAAAAAACTGAACGCAGCTGAGCTATCAGTAGGGAGAAACGCTGGTGGACACGCTGCCTTTAAGAACTGTAACACTCACTGTGAGGTTCCATAGCTTCATTTTGGAAGTCTAGACCAAGAACACGCTAATTCTGGTCACGCTAGCACTTTGAGAGGCCAAGGTGTGTGGATTACTTGAGGCCAGGAGTTCAAGACCAGCTTGGCCAGCATGGTAAAACCCTGTCTCTACCAAATATACAAAAATTAGCCTGGCGCATGGCAGCACGTTCCTGTAATCCTAACTAGTGGGGAGACTGGCAGGAGAATCATTTGAACCGGGGAGGTAGAGACTACAGTGAGGCGAGATTATGCCACTGCACTCCAGCCTGGGAGACAATAAGACTCCATCTCAAAAAAAAAAAAAAAAAAAATCCCAACCCTTTTCTTGTTACAGCAATCTCAAGGGAGTTTAGATTCCCCCATAAGATAACATAAAAACCTTTTTATAGGAACAGCATATAGTTCTGATATAACAATCTTGGTGCATCCACTAGTTCTTTGTCTAGTATTAAAATCCATTTTTAAAGTTTCTTTGAGCTTCAAGAATAAAGGTGCAAAGCCCATTCTGTTCCTTTTTCAACTTCTCCAGAAGTTTTCCCTTTTGCCTATTTCTTGCTATTAGAGAAGATTCTGGTTAAGACGACTCTGGTTAAACAAAGCATTCATATAACAAGTTTCCCTTTAGGTTGGTCTAACAATGCAGGCATCTCCATCATGGTCCACATTCTGAAAAGGTAGCAAGGGGTGAATCCTTACCCCTTTTGGCAGCGGTGGGATCAAGAATGGTTGTGGAGTAGATATATTTCAGGAAGCTCAAGCAGTCTATGCCTAAGGTCTGGCAGGCATCTTGATTCTGCCAGACCCATGACCTAACCACACACAATGATGCTATCCCAGTTTCTTCCTTTTCAGTGAATAGAACAACTAACCATGCTATTACTCAAGCCAAAAAATCCTAGGGGTAACTCTGGATTCTGCCTATCTCCCTCATCACAATCAAAAAGCTGACATTTTGTCAAGAGTCATTTGAACCAGAGCGACTCCATCTTGAATAGGGGCTGGGTAAAACAAGACAGACTACTGGGCTGCATTCCTAGGAGGTCAGGCATTCTTAGTTACAGGATAAGACAGGAGGTCCGCAGGACTGATATCACAAGATACGGGTCATAAACACTGGTGATAAAACAGGAGGTGGTGGTTGGGCGCGGTGGCTCGCTTGCTAGTGATCCCAGCACTTTGGGAGGCCGAGGTGGGCCGATCACTTTAGGTCAGAAGTTTGAGACCAGCCAGACCAACATGGTGAAACCCTTACCTCTACTGAAAATACAAAAAAGTAGCCGGGCATGGTAGCACGCATTTGCAGTCCCAGCTACTCGGAAGGCTGAGGAAGGAGAATTGCTTGAACCTGGGAGGCGGAGGTTGCAGTGAGCTGAGATTGCACCACTGCACTCCAATTTGGGCAAGAGTGAGACAGTGTCTCAAAAAAACAAAAAAAACCGGGAGGTGCTAAAGAAGCCAACCAAAACCAATATGGCAAGAAAGTGACCTCTGGTCATCCTCATTACTCATTATGCACTAATTATAATGCGTTAGCATGATAAGAAACTCCCACCAGCACCATGACAGTTTACAAATGCCATGGCAACATCAGGAAGTTACCCTATATGGTCTAAAAGGAGGAGGAACCCTTAGTTCCAGGAAATCCCTACCCCTTTTCTGGAAAACTCATTAATAATCCATCCTTGTTGAGCATATATTCAAGAAATAAGCATAAAGATAGCTTATCTCTATGCTATTTTTATGTCTATGGTGTAGCTATTCTTTTGTTCCTTTCTTAATAAGCCTGCTTCCACTTTACTGTATGGGCTTGCCCCAAATTCTTTTCTTGCGTTAAGATCCAAGAACCCTCTCTTGGGGTCTACTCTGGGACCCCTTTTTAGTAATAATTTTATCTCTAAAATGCACCTTAAAGTTCTCCACCTCTCTCCGTATACACCACATCCACCCTGGAATTAAACTCCAGTCTCTAGGCCAGGACAGCTGCAGTAGTTTCCTAACGGCTCTCTGTCTCTCCTCCCATCTCCCTCCACACTATGTTCCATAGAACAGCTGGAGTGAGTTTTCCTTCAAGTTCAGGGGTACATATGCAGGATATGCAGGTTTGTTACAGAGCTAAATGAGTGCCGTGGTGGTTTGCTGCAAAGATCATCCCATCACCTAGGTATTAAGCTATTCTTCCTGATGCACTCCCCAACCCCTCCAACAGGCCCCAGTGTGTGTGTTGTTCCCCATGTGTTCTCATTTTTCATTTCCCACTTATAAGCAAGAACACGTGGTATTTGGTTTTCTGTTCTTGCATTAGTTTGCTGTGGATAATGGCTTCCAACCCCATCCATGTCCCTGCAAAGGACATGATCTCCTTCCTTTTTATGGCTGCAGAGTATTCCATGGTGTATATGTACTACATTTTCTTTATCCAGTCTATCATCGATGAGCATTTAGGTTAATTCCATGTCTTTGCTATTGTGAATAGTGCTGCAATGACATGTGCATATGTCTTTTCAATAGGATGATTTGTATTCCTTTAGGTACATACCCAGTAATGGGATTGCTGGGTCAAATGGTATTTCTGCCTCTAAGTCTTTTTTTTTTTTTTTTTTTTGAGACAGAATATGGGCTCTGTCGCCCAGTCTGGAGTGCAGTGGTGCGATCTCGGCTCACTGCAAGCTCCGCCTCCCAGGTTCATGCCATTCTCCTGCCTCAGCCTCCCAAGTACTGGGACTACAGGCGCCCGCCACCACACCCGGCTAATTTAAGTCTTTGAGGAATCACCACCACACTGTCTTCCACAATGGTTGAACTAATTTACACTGCCACCAACAGTGTAAAAGCGTTCCTTTTTCTCCACAACCTTGCCAGCATCTGTTGTTTATTGACTTTCTAATAATAGCCACTCTGACTGGTGTGAGATGGCATCTCGTTGTGGGTTTGATTTGCATTTCTCTAATGATCAGTGATGTTGAGCTTTTTTGCATATGTTTGTTGGCCGCGTCTATGTCTTCTTTTCAGAAGTGTCTGTTCATGTCCTTTGCCCACTTTTTATGGGTTTTGTGTGTGTGTGTGTGTGTGTATTTGTTTAAGTTCCTTGTAGACTCTGGATATTAGACCTTTGTGAGATGGATAGATTGCAAAACTTTTCTCCCATTCTGTAGGTTGTCTGTTTATTTTGACGATAGTTTCTTCTGCTGTTTCTTTTGCATTTTAGTTTAATTAGATCCCATCTGTCAGTTTTTGCTTTTGTTGCAATTGCTTTTGGCATTTTTGTTATGAAATCATTGCCTGTGCCTATGTACTGAACGATATTGCCTAGATTTTCTAGGGTGTTTATAGTTTTGGGTTTTATGTTTAAGTATTTAATCCATCCTAAGTTAATCTTTGTATACGGCGTAAGGAAGGGGACCAGTTTCAATTTTCTGCATGTGGCTAGCTAGTTCTTCCAGCACCTTTTATTGAATAGGGAATCCTTTCCCCATTGCTTGTTTTTGTCAAGTTTGTTGAAGATCAGATGGTTGTAGATGTGTGGTCTTATTTCTGAGTTGTCTATTCTGTTCCATTGGTCTATGTGTCTTTTCTTGTACAAGCCATGCTGTTTTGGTTAGTGTAGCCTTGCAGTATAGTTTGAAGTCAGGTAGTATGATGCCTCCAACTTTGTTCTTTTTGCTTAGGATTGTCTTGGCTATACGTGCTCTTTTTTGGTTCCATATGAACTTTAAAATAGTTTTTCTAATTCTATGAAGAATGTCAATGGCAGTTTAAGCGAAATAGCATTGAATCTATAAATTACTTTGGGCAGTATGGCCATTTGCATGATATTAATTATTCCTATTCATGAGCATGGAATGTTTTTCCATTTGTTTGTGTCCTGATTTCTTTTTTTTTTTTTTTGAGACAGAGTTTCACTTTTGTCACCCAGGCTGAAGTGCAGTGGCGTGATCTCGGCTCACTGCAACCTCCACCTCCCAGGTTCAAGTGATTCTCCTGCCTCAGCCTCCCGAGTAGCTGGGATTACAGGCACCCGCCACCACACCTGCCTAATTTTTTGTATTTTTAGTAAAGATGGGGTTTTGCTGTGTTGGGCAGGCTGGTCTCAAACTCCTGACCTCAGGTGATCCACCCACCTCAGCCTCCAAAGTGCTGGGATTACAAGCCTGAGCCATTGCGCCCAGCCCCTCTCTGATTTCTTTGAGCAGTGGTTTGTAGTTCTAGAAAAGCTCCTTCACTTCCCTTGTAAATTGTATTCCTAGGTATTTTTTCCTTTCTGCAGCAATTGTGAATGGGAGTTGATTCATGATTTGACTCTCTGCTTGGATGTTGTTGGTATATAGGAATGCTAGCAATTTTTATACATTGATTTTGTATCCTGAGACTTTGCTGAAGTTGCTCATCAGCTTAAGTAACTTTTGGGCCGAGATGATGGGATTTTCTTGATATAGAATCATGTCATCTGCAAACAAAGATAATTTGACTTCCTCTTTTCCTATTTGAATACCCTTTATTTCTTTCTCTTGCCTGATTGTCCTGGACAGAACTTCCAATATTATGTTGAATAGGAGTGAGAGAGGGTATTCTTGTCTTGTGCCAGTTTTCAAGAGGAATGCTTCCAGCTTTTGCCCATTCAGTATTATATTGGCTGTGGGTTTGTCATATATGGCTCTTCTTATTTTGAGGTACGTTCCTTCAATACTTAGTTTATTGAGAGTTTTTAGCATGAAGGGATGTTGAATTTTATCAAAAGCCTTTTTTGTATCTATTGAGATAATCCTGTGGTTTTCATCTTTAGTTCTGTTTATGTGATGAATCACATTAATTGATTTGTGTATGTTGAAGCAACCTTGCATCCCAGGGATGAAACCAATTTGATTGTCATGGATAAGTTTTTTGATGTGCTGCTGGAATTGGTTTGCTAGTATTTTATTGAGGATATTTGCATCAATGTTCATCAAGGATATTGGCCTGAAGTTTTCTTTTTTTGTTGTATCTCTGCCACGTTTTGGTATCAGGATGCTAGCCTCATGGAATGAGTTAGGGAGGAGTCCCTGTCCCTCCTTTTCAATTTTTGGAAATAATTTCAGTAGAAATGATACCAGCTCTTCTTTGTACCTCTGGGAGAATTCAGCTGTGAATCCATTTGATCCTGGGCTTTTTTTTTGCTTTTGGTTGGTTGGTAGGCTATTATTAATTGCTGCTTCAATTTCAAAACTAATTATTGTTCTATTCAGGGATTCAATTTCTTCCTGGTTTGGTCTTGGGAGGGTGTATGTGTCCAGTAATTTATCCATTTCTTCTAGGTTTTCTAGTATATATGCATAGAGGCATTTATAATATTCTCTGATGATTGTATTTCTGTGGGGTCAGTGGTGATATCCCCCTTATTATTTCTGACTTTATTTCATTCTTCTTTTATTCTTTATTAGTCCAGCTAACAGTCTATTTTTTCAAAAAACCAACCCCTGGATTTGTTGATTTTTGAAGGGTTTTTCATGTTTCTATCTACTTCAGTTCAGCTCTGATCTTGGTTATTTCTTGTTTTCTGCTACCTTTGGGGTTTGCTTGCTGTTGGTTCTCTAGTTCTTTTAGTTGAGATGTTAGATTGTTAACTTGAGATGTTTCTAGCTTTTTGATGTGGTCATTTAGTGCTATAAATTTCTCTCTTAATACTGCTTTAGCTGTGTCCCAGGGATTCTGGTACATTTTCTCTTTGTTCTCCTTAGTTTCAAAGAACTTCTTGATTTCTGTCTTAATTTCATTATTTACCCAATAGTTGTTCAGAAGCAGATTGTTCAATTTCCATGTAGTTGTGTGGTTTTGAGTGGAAATTCTTAATCTTGAGTTCTAATTTGATAGCACTATGGTCAGAGAGACTGTTATGATTTCAGTTCTTTTTCATTTGCTGAGGAGTGTTTTACTTCTAATTATGTGGTCAATTTTAGAGTAAGTGCTGCGTGGTGATGAGAAGAATGTAAATTCTGTTGTTTTGGGGTGGAGAGTTCTGTAGTTATCTCCCAGGTCCACTTGATCCAGAGCTGAGTTCAGGTCCTGAATATCTTTATTTTCTGTATCAATTATCTAATATTATCAATGGGGTGTTGAAGTCTCCCACTATTATTGTGTGGGAGTCCAAGTCTCTTCGTAGGTCTCCAAGAACTTGCTTTATTAATCTAGGTGCTCCTGTATTGGGTGAATATATATTTAGGATAATTAGCTCTTGTTGTTGAACTGAACCCTCAGCTCCATCAGGTTGGTTATGTTCCTCTCTAAACTGGCTATTCTAGTTATCAGCTCCTGTATTGTTTAGATTCCTAGCTTCTTTGCATTGAGTTACAGCATGCTCCTTTAGCTCAGTGAAGTTCAATATTACCCACCTTCTGAAGCCTACTTCTGTCAATTCAGCCATCTCAGTCTCAGCCCAGTTCTGTGCCCTTGCTGGAGAGGTGTTGTAGTCATTTGGAGGAGATGAGGCACTCTGGTTTTTTGAGTTTTCAGCATTTTTGCATTGATTCTCTCCCATCTTTGTGGGTTTTTCTACCGCTGATCTTTGAAGTTGCTGACCTTTGAATGGGGTTTTTGTGGGGTTTTTGTTGATGTTGTTTTAACAGTCAGGAGATTCTTCCATAGGGCTTCTGCGGTTTGCTGGGGGTCCACTCCAGACCCTTAGTTGCCTCAGTTTTTCCCATACCTGGAGGTATCACCAGTGAAGACTGCAAAACAGCAAAGATGACAGCCTGCTCCTTCCTATAGAAGCTTTGTCCTGGGGGGTAACTGACCTGTTGCCGGCCCAAATGCACCTGTAGGAGATGGCTGGAAACCCCTATTGGGGGGCCTTATTACCCAGTGAGGAGGAATGGGATCAGGGACGCACTTATAGAAGCACTCTGGCTGCTTTTTGTAGAGCAGGTGTGCTTCACTAGGGAGAACCCTTCCTTGTCTAGACTGTTTGTATTCTCCAAAGCTGACAGGCTGGAACAGCTGAGTCTACCAAACCACAGAGATGGCAGCCAATGCTCCCCTTAGGAACTCAGTCCCATCTCTGGCAGACTGTTGCCATTGGCTGGCTGGAATTCTAAGCCAGTGTGTCTTAATCTGTGAGGTGCCATGGATGTGGGGCCCACAGAACAACGCTGCTTGGCTCCCTGGATTCAGCCCCCTTCCCAGGATTATTTACAGATGGATATCCTACCTTGCCAGGGATCCGAGGGTCAGAGAATGTAAAACTCCTGGGTCTCTTTGTGTCTGAGAAGCTGCTCTGCCAAGACTGCGTGTAGCTTTGTGTATCGGACTCAAGGCCCTGGTGGCACAGGCTCACAAAGGGATCTCCTGATCTGCAGGTTGCAAAGATCCATGGGGGAATTGTGGTTTCCTGAGTGGGCTTGCACAATCACTCACCACTTTCCTTGGCTAGGGGCAGGGGTTCCTTTGGCTCCATGCTGTTCCCAGTTGGGCCATCACCCCACCCTTCTTTTCTTTGTTCTCTTCGGGTCAAGTTGTTTGCCTAGTCAGCCCCAATGCAAGAACCTGGATATTTCAGTTGAAGGTGCTAAATTCACTCCCCACTTTCATTCCTCTCCATGAGTACTGCAGCTGCTTCTAATAGGCTATCTTGGCCCCTCTGCCTTTGGAATCACTTTCTAAAGGCAAAACTGACCATGCCAATCCCATCCTTAAAATTAGTTCATTGCCTCCTAAATACAATTTTAATAAAATCCAAATTCTTTACAGTGACCTAAAATCCCTGCCTGAGCTTACTCACGATTACCACACGAGCCATGTATCTGCAACAGGGGACAATATCAACCTCCAGGGAGGTGAATATTGGTTCTGGAGGGGAAGAGAGGGGATAAAGTAAATCTTTCTTTTTCCAACGTATAAAGAACAGGTATAGATAGAGCATATATAATACCTATGAAATTAAAATCTTATGGAAGGGGAACAATTAGAAAAAGAGTTTAAAGAAAAATTGAGAGATCCGCCTAATCTAATCTCAGGTTCCTCTTCCCCTTACCTATAAGACCAGCGCTACACAATATAGTAGCCCCTACTGACATGTGGCTACTGAACACTTGAAACATACCTAGTACAAAAGGAAAAGCAAAGTTTTAATTTTGCTTAAATAAAATTTCAATAGCCATATGTGGCTAGTGGCTACCATAGCAGACAACACAGCTCTAGACACTCTGACAGACCTCGTTTTGGTTCAAGGATATCAAGCCCTTTGCACATGCTATCTGTATCTATCCATGCTAGAGTCAGGATACTTTTGCTACAAATAACAAAAATTCAGAGTGGATTAAACATAAGTCCAGATGAGAGAATCCAGGGTTGGCTAATTCAACAGCTTCAATGCCATTATCATGGATCCAGGTTCCTTCCATCTTCCTTCACTGCCATCCCTGGTGCATGAGCACTACCCTAAGATTGTTCCCCTAAGAGTCACAGTATGTCTGCCACAGCACCAGGCATCACATCTAAACCTAATGCTCAGTATGAGACTGTAGCTGTCTCTTTTTTGTTCCTTTTAAAAATGAGATAAAACATCACCTCACATCTCGTTAGCCAGAATTTTATCATATGTCTCTTATCAATCACTGGCAAGAGGAATGGGATCACTACACATGGCTCAGATGCTACAAGAGCCATTCCCTGGAGCTGAATATAGTGCTGGTCCCCAAAACATATGGCTAGAGGAGGATGATGGATACTTGATCAAGCCAGGGCCCTGTAGGAAAGTAGGGACTTGCACACCTTGTATTAAGGAGGTGAGTGTGAAAGTAGAACTTCACCCTCTGTTCTAGGTAGAACTAAGTTGAGCTAGTTGAGAATATCCCTGTGCCACTGGTTTTCAGAGTGTTGTTATCCATAAACTTTTTAGAGAACTGAAAATTGTCAGGTCCCACCCCAAACCTATTGAATCAAACTCAGGATGGTGCCCAAGAATCTGTGTTTCAGAAAGTCTTCTAGGAGATTCTGATACACCCTAGAGTTTGAAAACATTGCCTTATTCCAGTGGTTTTCAATTGGGTGGTGGTGGTGGGGATTTTGCCTGTAGGGGACATTTGACAATGTCTAGAGACATTTCGGTTGTCACAACTGGAGTGCAGGGTGCTACTGGCATCTAGCAGTAGAGGTCAGGACAACGTGCAAGACAGTCTCCCACAGCAAAGAAGTGTCCAGCCCCAAATGGCAATAGTGCCAAGGCTGAGAAACCATGGGGCAGAGGAAGCTCCTTTACAATGGCTGCAGCCCGCCTGGCTCTCCATGTAGGATTCGGTCTTTGAACCTGTTTAGCGCAAGGATTAGCATCTGTCAAGCACCTTCAGAGCAAAAGAGATGTCAGACTGCCCTTGCCCACAGTCTAATCGACTTGTTTCTAAGCAATCAGTCTTCTAGCAGTCAACTCACATCAGTCCCAGGGGTCATTAAAGTATCCATCCATAGCAAAGCAATAAAACAGGACACAATGATCATCTTCGGGACAAAAAAAAAAAGACATTTTTTAAGGAGCACAGTCAATATACACATTGGCTGGCTTTTATGAGGGCCTAATTCCTCTATCTTAGAAAGTTGACATGCTGTTTGGATCAAGCAAATTTTTTTCCCTGCTTAGGAATCTTTCTGTTCAATTGAGTCTCTACTGCCACATCTAGCTCTCTTATGGGGCCAGGAAATGGAGATCAAACATCCAGTTCTAACTAACATTCTCTAGACAAGACACAAGCAAGAAACCATGCATTGTCTGTGGATACAATTTCTCTCCATGAGAGTTTGAAGTTAGAGAAAGCAGCAAATCCTATCAGAGTAGCCAATGCCACAATCAGTTCAGCTCAAGCTCACCTCATATTAAACCTATTTCCAAGGGTTTTATGGCACAGCTTGTTCTACCATGATCATCACGTGAGCTCTTCTGGCCCTTACTTAATGTAACACTTCCAGGAACACATGTGCTGGTAAAGTTTATTTGCGTTAATATTCTCTCATGTCAATCACATGTAAGCCCTGGAAGTTGGTTTTTATATACAGAATCCAGTGCCTTCCTGGGAGAACTACTTTTTTCCCAAAACAAAAGACGACACAATTAGTATGATAATTGCGGAGTTTAATGAACACCTTGCTTCACTTCGGGGTCTCATCTGGGATTTCGGAGTGAACTGTGTCCAGAGGCTGCCAGTGGCAATTCATGAGGGAGTCGTAGAGTTCTTCACTTTTCACCATAAACTCTTGGTTTGATTCCTCAATATTCAAATGAAGATGTGGATCTGCAGAAGCCAATAATGGATATGAAAAAAATAGAGTTTTACAGGACACATACTAGAAATAGTTTAAAATTAGAAAGCTTTTAGAAAGCATTTGCAGGAAGTACTGCAGATAGTAAAGGTTAAAATTCTTAAATTGCATATTTCCTTTCAATAAGACTTGAAAATAGAAATTTAAGCTATAAAAGTAGTAGTGTCATCAAACTCAATGAGCATCCAGCTGACAGAAGAGATGGAGGAAAAAAATGGACAGATTTCAGATGCTTGGGGGATGGATTCAATTTGGGAGGAAAGGGGAAAAGGAAGGTCAAGAATGACTGCCATGTTTCTGGCATGAGCCAGATAGATACAATGCCAAACAATGAACCAAGCCAAGGGCCCCTTGGACAGGGGTTTGTAAAAATACACATGCTACTTTAACTGCTCAGTTAACAGATAAAGTGAATTAATTTTATACAGCAACTAATTCAGAAAGACAGGAGGACTTGGCCTTCCATCTCCGAACCCTGGAACCCTGTGACGAGATGGTATTATGTTATTGCGAACGTATTAAACGTGGATTTTCTGCCCAAGTTGTCAGGTTTCCAGAGCTTTCCAAGGCTTACAAGGTCATTAATTTTTTTAATCTATTTTTTTCCTCTCCTTGTACTGAATGTAATGGAAGAAGCCTTTTATGTTTTCCTTTGTAATTTTTGCAAGCCTTAGTTCCTTGAGGATCATAATTTGCTTCCTAATACTCATATGGGTTCATGCTATTCATCTGTATGCTTATTAGGGACTAAATCTTTGCCCCACAAAATTCTTCTGTTAAAAGCCTAACCCCCACAATGTGAAGGCATTTGGAGATGGGGCCTCTGGGAGGTTAGATGAGGTCATAAGAGTTGGGTGCTGGTCTGACAGAAGTAGTGCCCTTATAAAAAGCGACAGCAGGCAGGACACAGCAACTCATACCTGTAACCCCAACACTTTGGGAAGCTGAGACCAGTGAATTGCTTAAATCTGGGAGTTTGAGATCAGCCTGGGCAACATACTGAGACGTCACTACAAAATATAAAAATAATTTTTTTTAAAAAAAGAGCAGAGAACTTGCTCACATTCTCTCCTACAATGCATGCATAAAGAGGTCAAGTGTGGAAACAGCAAGAAGGCTGCTGTCTGCAAGCCAAGAAGAGAGCCCTCGCCAGAAACCAAATTATCCAGACCCTGGATATTGGATTTCCAGCCTCCAGAATGGTAAGAAAATAAATCTTTGTTTAAACCACCCAGTCTGTGGTACTATGTTACAGTAGCCCTAGAAGACTAATGCAGTACTCTTCTGTATTTATCATTTTAGAACCAAAATGGTCAAATAGGCTTTAGTCATCATATAAATTCCATGAGCTACTTCTCACTTTTCTTCATTGGAGTCATTCATGATTGTGTTGTCTGATTCTTATTCTTTAGAGCTTCCCATCCCTTTTGAGTTTCCTTTGAGCGTTTCTGGTCATAAAAGTAGATGTTTCCCTTTTTTCCCACTAAACATTCTGAAATTTTCTTACACTTCTGTCCCCGGTTCCCTTCCTTTACCGTTATGGGCAGTTGTCTGCTAATGGGTCCCTGACTGCATGCCCCTGGTGGGGAAAGAGGAGTTAGGATCATATGCTTATGAGCATGCTCTCCACTTAACCTGTGGCCAAGAAAACAGATATAGTGTGGTCAGCTCCAAACCCCAGATTACATGATCTCTGCCCTTCCAGTGATGTTGATCAAAACTATAATAGAAGCCTATTCAAGACAAACTAATTATATCATCCCTAAACCTGTGAATCTTCTAGACCCATGTTGTCCAACACAGTAGCCACTAGCCACATGCAGCTATTGAGCATTGCTGGCCCTCACTGAGATGTGATGTAAGGATAAAATATACACCACATTGAAAGCAGAATGGTGGTTGCCAGGGGATGAGGGAAGGGAGAGTGAAGAGTTGTTATTTAATGGGTATGGAGTTTCAGGTTATAAAATGAAGAGTTCTGGAGATGAATGGTGATGGTTACACAACATTACGAATGTACTTAATACCACTGATACATTTAAAAGTCTATTGCTTCCCGGCCTTTTGGCTAAGATCAAGTGTGATACATTTAAAAGTCAAGATGGTAAATTTTATGTTATGCATATTTCACCACAATAGGAACAATTTAAAACTCTGCTTGAAGGTAATGTCTGAATAGCCCTCAAAATAAGGGTCCCCTCAATCTGCAGGTGAGGGGGCAGCCATTAAAAGAAAAAAAATAGAAAAAATATATGCTGCATTTCAAAGACTTGATGTAAAAAAAGTCGTTAATTTTTATATTGATTGCATGTTGGAATAATATCTTGGATATTGCCTTAGTTTGGGCTGCTAACAACATATCAGAAACTGACTAGTTCGTAAACAACACACAGTTATTTCTCACAGTTCTGGAAACCGGAAGTCCAAGATCAGGGTGTCAGCGTGGTTGGGTTCTGGTGAGGACCCTCTTCTGGGTTGCACACTGCCCAGAAGTCATGTCTTCACATGGCAGAGGGCAGAGAGAGGAATCAAATTCCCTCGTGACTTTTATAAGGTCACCATTTCCATTCATGAGGGCTCTACCCTCATGACCTCACCTAATCCTAATCATCTCCCTAAAGACCCATCTCCTAAAACTATCACATTGGGAGTGAGGGTTTCAACATATGAATTTGGCGAGGGGGAGGAACACAAATTCAGTCCATACCAGATATTAGGTTAAGTAAGAAACATTAATTTCACCTATCTCTTGAGTTGGTTCTTTAATTTGGCTACTAAAAAATTTAAAATTACCCACATGGATGGCTTTGTGTTTCACATTGTCTATTTTTAAATTTCTATGTGTTTCAAACTGACAGAGAAAACTGTATGTATTTATCACGTACAACATAGTGTTTTAAGTATATATTCATTGTGGAATGATCAAAGGATCAAATAACTACCTCACATAGTTATCATTTTTCATTTTTGTGGTGGAAACACTGAATATCCACTAAGTATTTTTCTTTCTTTCTTTTTTTTTTTTTTTTTTAAAAGACTAGTCAAATGCAGCAGTAAGAAGCAAGGAAAGAGTAGAACAAAAAGTTCAATCTGTAACTGACTGAACAACCAATTGCGATAACTCACTACCTTCGAATTAGCCTGTATTTCTTCATTAACTATAGTCACCATGGTATACAATACATTTTTTTTTTTTTTTTGAGACGGAGTTTTGCTCTTGTTGCCCAGGCTGGAGTGCAATGGTGCGATCTCAGCTGACTGCAACCTCCACCTCCTGGGTTCAAGTGGTTCCCCTGCCTCAGCCTCCCAAGTAGCTGGGATTACAGGCGCACACCACCACACTCGGCTAATTTTTTGTATCTTTAATAGAGATGAGGGTTCACCATGTTGGTCAGGCTGGTCTCAAACTCTTGACCTCGTGATCCACCCACCTCGGCCTCCCAAAGTGCTGGGATTACAGGTGTAAGCCACCGTGCCCAGCCTACAATAAATCTCTTGAACGGTATTCCTCCTAGCTAACTGAAATTCTATCTTTTGACCAACATCTCCCTACCACTCTCTCCCTGCAACTACCCTAGCCTCTAGTAACCACCATTCTATGCTCTACTGCTATGAAATAAGCTTTTTAAGATTCCACATGAGTGAAATCATATGGCATTTGTTCTTCCGTGCCTGGTTTATTTCACTTGACATAATGTTCTCCATGTTCATCCATGTTGCCACAAATGACAAGATTTCATCCTTTTTACAGTTGAATAGTATTCTATTGTGTATATACGCATTTTCTTTATCCATTCATCCACTTATGGGCATTTAGTTTGATTCTGTATCTTGGCTATTGTGAATAGTGCTGCAATAGACACGGAGGTACAGATGTCTCTTTGACATACTGATTTCATTTCCTTTGGATATATGCCCAATAGTGGGATTGCTGGATCATATAGTAGCTCTACTGTTAATAATTTGAGGAAACGCCATACTTTTTATAACTGCTGTACCAATTTACATTCCCACCAACAGTATGCAAGGGCTCTTTTCTTCACATCCTACCCAACATTTGTTATCTTTCGTCTTTTTGATAACAGCCATTCTATCAGGAGTGAGACGATATCTCACTACTGTGGTTTTAATTTACAGTTCTCTGATGATTAGTGAAGTTGAACATTTTCTCATGCATCTATTGGTCATTTGTACATCATCTCTTGAGAAATGTCTTAAAAAATGGCCGGGCACGGTGGCTCACGCCTGTAATCCCAGCACTTTGGGAGGCCAAGGTGGGTGGATCACCTGAGGTCAGGAGTTTGAGACCAGTCTGGCCAACATGGTGAAACCCCGTCTCTACTAAAAATACAAAAATTAGCTGGGCGTGGTGGCGAGTGCCTGTAATCCCAGCTACTCAGGAGTCTGAGACTGGGTTCATTTGAACGGGGGAGGCGGAGGCTGCAGTGAGCCGAAATCACGCCACTGCGTTCCAGCCTAGACAACAGAGTGAGACTCACTCTCAAAAAAACAAAACAAAACAAAACAAAAAACTTATCCCTGTAACCAAAAACCATCTGTACCCCCAAAAACTATTGAAATAAAAATTTTTTTAAATGTGCAAAAGACCTGAATAATCAGGTTATTTTCTTGCTAATGAGTCATTTGATTTCCTTATATATTTAGCATATTAACCCCTTATTGATACAGGAGTTAAAAAGAAATTATTTAGGGTAAGAAAGTCCTCGGTAAGGTTTTGCTTTTCATGAACAGCTGCCCCCAAATCATTTTCTTTTCTAACAAACAGCAACCTGTAAAACTGAACTGCAGACACAGACAAGCAAGCTAGAAGCTTGCACATGCAAATGCCAGCAGTTGTGCCAATAGGAAAAAGCTACCTAAGGAATAGGCATGTTCAAAATGGCGGCTCCATCTTCTCTTTGCCAGCCACTTGTGCAGTAAGGAGCGGACAAGATGGCGGACAAGTGGAAAGTCTATTTGCATAATAAGATCAGGGTAGGGCAACCAGCCTTCGCCTGGCATCATGTAGACGTCACACCTGGTCTAGCCAATCTGGGCCCTACATAAATCAGACACCGCCTCCTCAAGCCTGCCTGTAAAATTGCCTGCTGTCTGCTACAGGCCTACTTTTCCTTTTCGGAGGCCTGTTTCCTGTCACACAGAGCTGCTCTCCTCTCTCCTTTCTTCTACCTATTAAGCCTTGCACTCCTTAACCCACCCACATGTGTCCATGTCCTTATTCCTCCTGGTGCAAGACGACGAACCCTGGGTATTTACCCCAGAAGATGCCTCTTCATAATCACTTGCATAGCGTGCAAATATTTTCTCCCACTCCGTTGTCTGTCTTCACTCTGTTACTGTTTCCTTTGCTGTACAGAAGCTTTTTAGTTCACTGTGATACTATTTTTCTATTTTTGCGTTTGCTGCCTGTCCTTTTGAGGTCATATCCAAAAAAATCATTGCCCAGACCAATGTCGTGGAGCTTTTCCCTTATGTTTTCTTCTAGTAGTTTCACAGTTTTGGGTCTTACATTTAAGTCTTTAATCTATTTTGAGTTGTTTTTGTATATAGTGAGAGATAAACAGTCTAATTTCATTCTTTTGCATGTGGACATTGTTTTCTGAGCACCATTTATTGAAGAGACTGCCTTTTCCCCATTGTGTGTTCTTGGCACCTTTGCTGAAAATCAGTGGGCTATAAATGTGTGGATTTATTTCTGGGCTCTCTATTCTGTTCCATTGGTTTATGTGTCTGTTATTATGCCAGTATCATGCTGCTTTGGTTACCACAACTTTGTAGTACAAAGTCAGGTAGTGTGATGCCTTCACCCTTTTTTTTTTTTGGCTCAGATTGCTTTGGCTATTTAGGTTTTTTTGTGATTCCATACAAATTATAGTATCATTTTTTTCTTTTTTTTTTTCCCAAGACAGGGTCTCACTTTGTCACCCAGGCTGGAGTGCAGTGGCGCCACCTTGGCTCACTCTAACCTCCGCCTCCCGGGTTCCAGCAATTCTCCCACCTCAGCCTCCCGAGTAGCTGGGACTACAGGCACGCATGCCACTATGCCTGGCTAATTTTTGTATTGTTAGTAGAGACGGGGTTTCACCATGTTGACCAGGCTGTTCTTGAACTCCTGACCTCACGTGATCCTCCCACCTGAGCCTCCCAAAGTGCCAGGATTACAGGCATGAGACACTGTGCACTCGGTCATTTTTTTCTATTTCTATGTAGAATGCCATTGGTATTTTGATAGAGAGTACATTGAATCTGGCTGGGCATAGTGGCTCATGCCTGTAATCCCAGAACTTTGGGAGGCCAAAGCAGGTGGATCACCTGAGGTCAGGAGTTCAAGACCAGCCTGGCCAACATGGAGAAGCCCCATCTCTACTAAAAATACAAAAATTAGCTGGGTGTGGTAATTCCAATCCTACTGTAATTCCAATCCTACTTGGGAGGCTGAGGCAGGAGAATTGCTTGAACCCTGGAGGAGGCGGTTGCAGTGAGCCGAGCTCAAACACCACTGCCCTCCAGCCTGGGCAACAGAGTGAGACTGTCTTAAAAAAAAAAAAAAAAAAAAAAAAGACAGAGAGAGTGCATTGATTCTGTAGATCACTTTGGGTAGTATGAACATTTTAATAATATTCATTGTTTTAATCCATGAGCATGAGATATCTTTTGTGTCTTCAGTTTCTTCCATCAACACTTTATAGTGTTCAGTATAGACATCTTTCACCTCAGTTAAATTTACTCTTAAGTTTTTGTTACAGCTATTGTACATGGGATTATTTTCTTGTTATCTTTTTCAAACAGTATTAGTGTATAGAAACAATTTTGTGTAGTAAAGTTACAGGATACAAAATTAATAAGTTTATTAGACCTAACAGTTTTTTGGCAGAGTCTGTAGGGTTTTCTCTACAGGCATACCTCAGAGATATTGCAGGTTTAGTTCCTAACCACTGCAATAAAATGAATATTGCAATGAAGCAAGTCACATGAATTTTTTGTTTCCCAGTGCATATAAAAGTTGTTTACATTGGCTGGGCATGGTGGCTTATGCCTGTAATCCCAGTACTTTGGGAGGCCGTGGCTGGAGAATCACTTGAGCTCAGGAGTTCGACACCAGCCTGGGCAACATAGTAAGACCTTGTCTCTGTTTTTAAAAAAATTTTTTTAAAAGAACAAATTTGGCCAGGCACAGTGGCTCACGCCTGTAATCCCCGCACTTTGGGAGGCGGAGGCAGGAAGATCATGAGGTCAGGAGATCGAGACCATCCTGGCCAACATGGTGAAGCCCCACCTCTACTAAAATACAAAAAATTAGCCAGGCATGGTGGTGCTTGCCTATAGTCCCAGCTACTTGGGAGGCTGAGGCAGGGGAATCACTTGAACCCAAGAGGCGGAGATTGCAGTGAGCCAAGATCGCACCACTGCACTCCAGCCTGGCAACAGAGTGAGACTCCATCTCAAAAAAAAATAAAATAAAAGAACAAATTTGTTTACAATGTAAATACCTTAAGAAATAGTTTATTGCGGCTGGGCACGGTGGCTCATGCCTGCAATCCCAGCACTTTGGGAGGATGACGTGGGTGGATCACCTGAGGCCAGGAGTTTGAGACCAGCCTGGCCAACATGGCGAAACCCCATCTCTACTAAAAATACAAAAGTTAGCTGGGCGTAGTGGCAGGTGCCTCTAGTCCCAGCTACTCAAGAGGCTAAGGCAGAAGAATCGCTTGAACCCGGAGACGGAGGTTGCAGTGAGCCGAGATCACGCCACTTTACTCCAGCCTGGGTGACAAAGCAAGACTGTCTCCAAAAAAAAAAAAAAAATAGAAAAAAAAATAGCTCATTGCTAAACAGTGCTAACAAGTAAGCACATACCGTTTGCGAAAATGGCACAGATACACTTGCTCAATGCAGGGCTGCCATAAACTTCTAACTTGTTAAAAAAAAAAAACAAAAAACAAAAACCATAGTCTCTGTGGAACATAATAAAGTGAAGTGCAATAAAATGAGGTATGCCTGTATATCACATCATGTCATCTTCAAAACTTCTTCCTTTCCAACCTAGGAACCTTTAGTTTCTCCCTCTTGCCTAACTGCTCTGGCTAGACTTCTAATATTATGTTGAATAGAAGTAGTGAAAGTGGGCATCCTTATCTGGTTTCAGATCTTAGAGGAAAAGCTTTCAGATTTTCCCCGTTCAGTGCAATATTAGCTGTGAGTTTGTTATATGGACTCTATTGTATTGAGGTACACTCCTTTTATACCTAATTTGTTGGAAGTTTTTATCATGAAGAGATAACTGAATTTTGTCAAATGATTTTTCTGCATCTACTGAAATGATCACCAAGCGCAGTTGCTCATGCCCGTAATCCCAGAACTCTGGGAGGCTGAGGCAGGCAGATCACCTGAGCTCAGGAGTTCAAGACCAGCTTGGGCAACATGGCGAAACCCCATCTCTACCAAAAATACAAAAAATTAGCTGGGCATGGTGTCATGCACCTGTGGTCCCAGCTACTTGGGAGGCTGAGATGGGAGGATTGCTTGAGCCTAGGATGCAGAGGTTGCAGCCGAGATCACGGCACTGCACTCCAACCTGGGTGACAGAGTGAGACCCTATCTCCAGGAAAAAAAAAAGAAAAATAATGTTTTTTGTCCTTCATTCTGTTGATGGGATAATGGGATGTATCATGTTTATTAATTTGTGTATATTAAACTATCCTTGCGTCCCTGGGATGAATACCACTTGTTCATGACAGATGATTTTGTCATTGTGCTGTTGAATTCAGTTTGCTAGTATTTTGTTGGGGACCTTTGCATCTATGTTCATCAGGAATATTGGTTGTAGTTTTTTCTTGTTGTGTCCTTTTCTGGTTGTGATATCAGAGTAATGCTGGCTTCATAAAATAAGTTTCAAAGTATTTCGTCTTCGATTTTTTGGAGTGTTTAAGACATGGCATTAGTTCTTCTTTAAATATCTGGGGGCTGGGCATGGTGACTCAGGCCTGTAATTCCAGCCCTTGGGGAGGCAGAGCTGGGAGGATCGCTTGAGCCTAAGAGTTTGAGACCAACCTGAGCAACAAAGTGAGACTCCACCTCTACAAAAAATAAAATAAAATGAAAAATAAATGTTTGGTAGAATTAAACAGGCCATCAGGACCTGGGCTTTTCTTTGATGGGAGACTTTTTTTTGAGACAGGGTCTCACTCTGTCACCCAGGCTGACATGCAGTGGCACATTCATAGCTCACTTAAGCCTCAGTCTTTTGGGCACAAGCAATCCTCCTATCTCAGCCTCTCAAATATTTGGGACTATAGGTACATGCTACCATACCCAGTTATTTTTTTAAATTTTTTGTAGAGACAAGGTCTCACTGTATTGCCAAGTCTGGTCTCAAGCCCCTGGGCTCAAATGATCCTCCCCTATTAGCCTCCCGAAGTGCTTGGGATTATAGGCATTATCCACCAGGCCTGGCCTGATGGGAAACTTTTTATTACTGTTTCAATTCCTTATTATTGGTCTGTTCAGGTTTTCTATTTCTTCATAATTTAATCTTGGTAGGTGGTAGATTGTATGTGTCCAGGAATTTACTCATTTCTTCTATGTTATCCAATTTACTGATGTATAATTGTTCATAATTGTCTTTTATGTTCCTTTGTATTTCTGTGATATCAGTTGTAATGTCTCCTTTTTCATCTGATTTTGAGTTTCTTTTGTTCTTAAAGGTTTGTTGACTATCTTTTAAAGAAACCAACCCTTCATTTTGTTGATCTTTTGTATTGTTTTTCTAGTTTCTATCTATTTTTGCTATAGTCTTTATTATTTCTTTTCTTCTACTAATTTTGGGTTTACTTTGTTCTTGTTCTTCTAGCTCCTTGAGGTGCAACTGCATTACATTTCTACTGACCAGTACTGTGCCAGATTGATGACCAGCCAATACTTGAGTGTTTATGATATGGCAGCAGCTGTTTAACCACCTAAAAGTACTGTAGACCTAGCATACCCACACTTCCTATAAGAAAGGTATCAATGTCCCCACTTTACAGAAACTGAAGCAGACACACTAGAGATTAATTTGTCTGGAATTACAGAGCTAGTAGGTAGAATCTGAACCCCGTGGCAATCTGTATCCAAAAAGCAGACTTTTACCTCTATTATTTTGATAGAGGCATGGGACAGCCAAATGCCTAGGCAAATAGGGTAAGGTCCCTGGAGAACCTCCAACCTGCCCAAGTCATTGTGCACAGGGGGCTTGGCTAAACATGCCCACGGTGAAAAATTCCATCTTTTAACACATGTGCAATAAGGGAAATAAATCAATGTGGAGTGGCTCAGACTAAGGGCCCACGTGCACATTGGAAGAATGAGGAGGAGTCACCAGGAATTCACACCTTATGCAGGGGAGGAGCCTGGCCTTTTCAACTCGTATGTGATGGCCTGGTATTCAATTTGTGAGGTGGAAACCTGTGTTTGGGATCCCTCTTTTTGTTAAGAGCTTTCCTTTCACTTAATAAATTCCATCCTCCTCACCCTTCAATGTATCCACATGCCTAATTTTTCCTGGTTGTGAGACAAGGACCCAGATTTAGCTGAACTAAGGAGCAAGAAATCCTGCATCAATTTTAATAAATTGCATAACTGATAAAAGGCAGGAAGAAAGACTCACACTTAATCTGAAAGAAATCCCACAAAGTTGAAATAAGCACCCTTTACTCATGTTTAAATCAAAGTACTAAAAACTACAACTGCTCAACAGCATATAAACATTTCTTTTCAACACCAATTTGATTTAATTTAAACACTGAGCACCTACTGACATGTGAACTCTCTGAATTAGTAACAGGGCCTACAAAGACTGATAACAACATGCTCCCTTCTTTGATAAAGTCATAAAGGCAGTGGGTGGGTTTGTCTGGTAGGGGCAGGGGTTTGGGCAAGAGAGAGATTAGACAAACATGTGATAAGACAGACATGTGATAAGAAAAAGGCAATAGTGTTCTCTGCATTTCTCCTCTATTTTTCTTTCCCATTACTTAAAAGAAGCAAAACATTTTTTCCCCTTCCTCAAATAAGACACATTCAGAGTGTTTGTCTCTAGGCAGGCAAACTTTGTTCTTTCCAAAACAAATTGAGAAGTACAGGAAGCACCACCAGACTGACACTACAGTGCTGCTCTGTCAGGTACCCCAGGATCCAATAACCCTGAGGCCACAGCAATCACCTCATGCTCTTCCCCCTTGAAAAAGAGAATTAAAGCATAATTCTCCTCAAAGTCTAAACTTACAGAGGAAATGGAGCTTAAGAACAATGTATTGTCTTCTTACTGTTTGGGAATGTCCCCCTTTCTCAGTCCTTCAGAAAGGCCCAAAGAGGTGGCTTAGTTAAAGTTGTTCCCATAGAACCAGTTTCTAAAAACAGGAGAAATTACTGAAGCATATGGCTTAGGCAACCTACATTGGAATTTTCCAATAGAACCTTCCAGTTTCTAGCAAGCTGAGTGAATGAGAAACCAGGAAATGGGGTTTTGTTTCCAACCACTTCAGCACAAGGTTTATGTTACCTTCTAGTGGGTCTTCATCTTGGTTTTCAGCTAGAGGTGTGGTTTCCTGCAACAAAATATTATCTCATGAGAAAATAATTTTACTTAAAGGTTTAATATCAATACATACTTTATTGGGAAAAACTCTAGCTCTCAAAAAAACTACCTAAAATAAAAATAATATTGACAATTAATCTCTTTAAATCAACTTTTGAATTTGATGAAAAGAATCTTTAGGTGGCATAGTACAATTATGAAAGAAGTAAACTGAATCACAGAAGAACTGTCACAAAGAGGAACAAGCCTAACGAGGGCCCCTGGCCCCTGGATTTTCTGGGACCTAACTAGCATCCTAGAGCCTGAGCTAGGAAACCAGACACCAGCGACCCTGGTATCCAGGCTCCTTATTTCTTGTACTACATGCCTGACTCTACCTAGAGTTCTGCTCCTCCTTCCAGAAGACAATCTGTTAAGTCTCCATGAGCACGTTTTTCTCATGGCCTTCTAATCACATCCTCAAACCCGTGACTCAGCTAAGAACCAGGATATTAGGTGCTCAAGAAAATGCAGAGGCTACAGCAAAGCAAACCAATCATATCCTTACATAATGAGAGAAGTAAACTGCAGAGGTACTCCCAAAGTAAATCTTGGTTGGTTAACCCAGACCCTGTTGGCTCTACTGGGGCAGCATACGTTTTTATGATTCTTCTATGTAGACCTGTTGGGAACCTGTCTTTTTAAGTATGGCCAGCTATTCCAAGGAATCACTATCAAGAAAGGGCTGATGTAGCTCCTGGCACTTAATTAAGCTTCCCTTGCTAATAAGAATGAGAAGATACTGAGAGCCAAAGATCTACTATCTTTTCTTTTCAGTCTATCTGAAAGTATGCCTCCCCTTCACTCTGAAATATACTGAGGTTTGGAAAATAGGTTATATAGTTACCATAAATTTCAAAAGACAATCTGTCTTTTTTCTATTTAGATACGGCTAAGACCGCAGGCATGGTGGCATGCAGCCGGTAGTCTCAGCTACTTGGAAGGCTGGAGCAGGAGGACCACTTGAACCCAGGAGATCAAGACTGCAGTGAGTTATGATGGCACCACTGCACTCCAGCCTGGGCAAAAGAGCAAGACATCATCTCTAAAAGCTAATTATATAAAAAGAAAAGAAAGAAATGGCAAAGACACCCAGAATCCACACTTCCATAAGTTCCTTTCCCATAATACAAGACTTGAGTAACCACACATTTCCTCCTTTCAGTGTGTGTTCTGGTAAATGTGGATGCTAAATAACCAGGATGAGGGAAGCAGGAAGTATCTGGAGACAGAGCATTCTCTCTGGTCTGAGGGCCACCTGTGCTGTGTATGCAGCTGGCTGCCTTTAAAGAAAAGCACATTTATAAAAGGCTTTCCTCAGCTAGAGATAGTCTGGGAAGGTGTGCTGATGGACCACAAAGACCCGAGAATCATTTTGGAGACATCCACCTCCACAACGTGAAAATGTAAAGGAGAGGGCTGGAGAGGGGGTAACCCCTTTAACTTGGGGAGATAAAGGTTATGGACAGAGGCACAGCACATTGGGGGAAGCAGGGAATGACTAGGACATCTTGGCAAGGACACACGTTATTGGAGAAGACCAAAATGGGGATGTGGGAGTAAAAGAGCGCCACCACAGAGGCTTACCATCTTTAATTTCACTCAGCAGCTTCCCAACAGGGGACACCCAGCAGGATGGCAGGCAGATGGCACAGGGGGTCACTACAGCCACAAAAGATAACATATTTATATAATTCTTGTATGAAAAATGCATGTTATAGTAATAATTCGGCCTGAGGGTGAGATAAAAATCCCAGACTGTGCCAACAAAAATGGACAGAGGAATTGAGAGAAGGGGTAGCCAGGTGAGAAAAAAAGGATGTTCATTTCTTAATTTTCTCAAGAGTGACGAAAAAATCAAGAAATACTTTTGTTTCTGAAGTTGATAATATACTAATTCCTATACTTCTCTATTTAGAGATATAAGGGTAACCACCAAAAGACAGACCGTCTCCCAAAAAAGAGCAAAAAGAGAAGGGGCAAAAGAAAAAAAAAAAAAAAAGAGTGCCAAAACCACAGGCAATGTAGTGAAAGATTTTTTTTTTAAGTGCTGCAATATCAAACATCTGTTAAAAGGGAAAAACCCAAATTGGGCTAAAAGGGGGAAAAAATGACAAGAAATCTAACAAGATATTTTATATAAGAGGCACACCTAAAACAGACTTGAGAAAAATTGAAAATGAAAGTTTGGGCAGTGAAATATCATAATATAAAGCAAATGTAAGTTTTAAAAGCCAAGGGACTAGATATAAAATTCAATTTTCATTTTAAGGTAAAGATCATCACACAAATGGTGTCACTCTGCATATTAGGAGACAAGCTGGGGTGGGGGAAGTCCGTAACATTTAGACTCCAAAGTGTTAATTTCTCTAACATGTGAATATCTTATGCAGTCAAGCAAGAGGGACACAACTCAACAGAAAAATTAGAAAGAGGATATCAAAGTCACAGAACACAGATAGCAATAAACATTTCAAGAGGTATTTGCCCTCAATAATAGATAAATGCCTCCCTGCCCTATTAGATTGGCTAATCATACACAGACAAATGTAGAGTAGCAAGAACACCCACCACAATAATGAAAAGTGTAAATTCATGCAGACTTTAGGTAACTTGCTATTAAAATTTTTTAATGTTATATCCTTTAATCCAGCCCTTCCACATCCAGAATTATATTCTTGGGGAAAAAAGCAACACTCAGACAAATGCTTGAAGATAGGTAAGTTTGTTAAAGCCCTGAAAATATTTAAAATGTCAGATAAGGGATGAGCTAAAAATCGCAATGTATCTAACTGCGCTCGCTCTGTTGCTCAGGCTGGAGTACAATGGCACAATCATGGCTCATTGCAGCCTCAAACTCCCGGACTCAAGTGATCGTCCCGCCTCAGTCTCCCAAGTAGCTGGGACTACATGTGTGAGCCATCTTGCCCAGACCATAAGTGGACGATTTTTTAAAGAAAGGTCTCCTTATGCAGAAGCAAGCAAACAGCAAACCAGTATGTACTACATAGTTCGTTCTTGCCCAAATCATCCCCTAACCACCAAAACAGAAAGATGAACCACATTGATTTAGCAAGAGTACAGGAGAAAGATCTAGAAGACATAGATCCACTCCACAGTACTTTCTTCTAAGTGGGAAGGGAATGGGGAAGGAGGAGGGGTGTGTGTGGGGGGGAACTTTTCCCTTACTTCAATACATCTTTGTGTGATTTGAGAAATATGTCACTTTAGTAATTCAAAGTATTAAAATATATTTTTAAAGTGTGTTTATGTCCAACTGCTATAAAACAAACCCCAAAACTACCTTTTGTCCTATATAGTGTTAAAGAGTAAAATTTATCGAATTATGATAATCTAAAATTTAGCAGCAAGAATTTAGAAAAAGACTTCATTAGCTTTTTGTGTTGTTTCTAGAAGAGAATGGGAAATTATCTGCAAGTGAACACTTCTAGTTTATACACGTCCAAACTCAGCAAATCATATAAATTAAACATGTGCAGGGACTTTTTGTGTATTATACCTCAATAAAGCTATACAAACATTTTTCTTAGGCTATCAGCTTTACTCTCTAGTATTAAAACAGGTAGCAAAAGCCATGTCTGTGGGAATTTGGATGACAGGACACAGATGTGTGAAGATAGGAAAGTGATGTTTACTATTATTGGGCACACGAATGACACAAGATTCATTCTAGCAAGGGATACCTTAGGCATAACCAGAGTTCCAGCTGTGTGTTCAGGGGTCTCATGCGCAGAAAAACAGTCCTTTCCATTTCCATCCACTGCACAGCCATAGCTGTAGCCAGAAAGAAGGTAAGAGCCGTGCTGTCGCGCATACCAGTTGCCATAGCGGTAACTCTGGCTGGGCTGGAACTCCTGCTTCACTCTAATAGCAGAGGGGAGACTACAGGAATGACAATCATCACAACCAACGCAGAATCATCCACAAACCCCCAAACCCTTTCTTCTTTCCAGGAAGTTTGCAGTAAGCTGAACACCTATGTTCAAAGCCATAGTTTGATACCTAATGTAGATGACGGGTTGATGGGTGCAGCAAACCACCATGGCACGTGTATACCTATGTAAAAAACCTGCACGTTCTGCACATGTACCCCAGAACTTTAAAAAAAAAAAAGCCATAGTTTGTAAGTTACCAACAGTTATGTAGCAAATAGAACAGTAACAGCTTTCCTTTTCAAAGTAGGAGAAAACCACTCACCTTTGCCAGTAGCAGTAATAGTTATTTTGTTGAGCTATGCCAAAATCTGCAGAACTCTCTGGTTGGGCCATTTACCCAGAAACTTTACAAAAAGAGAGCAGAATCCAGTTTTTATTCCTGCGTCAAAAATCCAGCTTGTGGGCTGAAACCTCTCAATCCTGACAAATAAGTCTCGCAACTACATCTGAGATAATTACATTTAGTGGCAATTCCTGCTAGGCAATTAATTGCTTGACTTTCCTGACAACGGGGCAAAGGTGTGGGTGGGGGAGGGGTGTACTGAGGCACCTGGGGGAACTTCTGCAATCTGTTCCTCGGGCTTCCACCTGCCAGCCCCTCTCTCCCAACTGTCAGGCAGCGGGAGCCAGCAGAACCCCAGGGAGGGACAGAAGGGGTAGGTATGTTGGTCGACAATGAAGGATAGTCTCCACTCCACCCCTTACCATAACAGGTAAAAGAGGAAACTCTAATAACTAAAACCTTAAGACAAATACATTTCTCTCCTCTGTTACCTGCTGAGAATAACTATTGGAACTAGCACCTGCTGGCTTTTTCTTTTTTTAATTCCACGCAGGTTGAAAGCATCATCCAACTACCTGCAAAATTAAGAGGCAGAGAAGAACGCGCTCCCTCGCCCCCTTCCCTTCTCTCCTCTTCTCTTACGCTCTACATTAATGAGAGTACAGGATACAATTTTAAAGAAATATTTCTCTGGTTCAGTTTTTTTTTTTAAAAAAAGCATAAAACTTCCCAAACTTCGATGTGCATTCAAATGACCTGGACTTGTTTAAAATGTAGGTTCTCTAACTTGACAGATTTGGAGTGGAGCCTCAGATTCTGCCTTTATTAGCCAGCTCCCGCCACTTGAAGTAGCAAGGTTACACAGTGTCAAAATTCAGGATAACTTTTAAGTCCATATGGGGCACTTAGGGTTTGGCCATTTCCCTGCAGCTTGCTAATAACTAAGTTCTTAATGTATTTACTATTTACCTGTAATGCGAAAAATAGCAAACATGATGAATTCAAAACATTCGGATCATTCAATCATTCACCAGTTATTGAGCCATTACTATACTCATCCCTGAGTATCCATGGGAGATTGTTTACAGGATCCCCCTCAGATACCAAAATCCTTGGATGCCCAAGTATAAAATGGTGTAGTATTTGCAAAGAACCTACACACACCCTCCCATAAACCTTAAATTCTGTCTGGATTACTTATAATACCTAATACAATGGCTATGTATTACTTCATGTGGGTTCACCAGTAGTATCCAGCATGTGGCAAATTCAAGTTTTACTTTTTGAAACTTTTTGGAGTTTTGGGGTTTTTTGTTTTGTTTTGTTTTTGAGATGGAGTCTCCCTCTGTCACCCAGGCTGGAGTACAGTGGCATGATCTTGGCTCACTGCAACCTCCACCTCCCAGGTTCAAGTGATTCTGCTGCCTCAACCTCCCCAGTAGCTGGGATTACAGGCATCTGGCACCACGCCTGGCTAATGTTTGTATTTTTAGTAGAGACAGGGTTTCACCACATTGCCCAGGCTGGAGGGCAGTGGCATGATCTCTCCTCACTGCAACCTGTGCCTCCCAGGTGCAAGTGATTCTCCTGCCTCAGCCTCCCCAGTAGCTGGGATTACAGGTGCCCACCACCACGCCTGGCTAATTTTTAGTAGAGACGGATTTTCACCATGTTGGCCAGGCTGGTCTCAAAACTTCTGACCTCAGGAGATCCGCTCGCCTTAGCCTCCCAAAGTTCTGGGATTACAGGCGTGAGCCACCGTGCCCGGCCTCCCAAGTATTTTCAGTCCACGACTGGTTGCATCCAGGGATGCAGAACCCACAGACGCTGAGGGCCGATGGTATCCGCAAGGCAGGGTAACTGGCATTGGTGATGTACTGGAGTTTATAGAGAGTGGATTTCCTCATGTCTTCAAGGGAGATTTTATTGATTAGCAACTGTGGCAGACATTGTTAAGTGCCACCCAATATTGGTTTATTTTCTTCCTTAATAACAATTCTGATTTCACTTGGGCTAGCAATAGGCCCAAGCTAAAAGACTACATTTCCTAGCTTCTCCCTTGCAGCAAGATGTGGCCAGGTGGTCAGTCTGGCTAAGAAGATGTAAACAGAACTAGTAGAAGGGGATAGGGGAAAGCTGTGTGGGAAAAGGGTATTTGCTTAGCTGGAGGGTCTGGTGCTGGGATTACAAATATGACGGCTGGTGTCAGAATAACTCTGCAGCTATCTTGGACTATGAGGTGACATCCAGGAAGGCATCATGCAGAAGAATACTGGGATCCAAGACAGAATGAGTCTAGGTCACCAATGACTAAGGACTCCTTCCACTAGCACTAGACTGGCCTACCGCTGGTTTACTTAATGTCTTGTTTAGACCACTATTGTTATGTCAGGTAAAACACAATTCCTAACTACTGTAGTTTAGACAGCCAATAAAACATGTCAGTTAAAGATTCTTTTCCTGTAAAATTTTTTTTCTCTCACTTTAGGACTGACTTTATTTTACACAAAGAAAATCACAATTATGGCTATAACCAGGTAAGCATTGAGGCTGCAGTTGGAAAGCAACGTGGAAGTTGAACATTGAGGAGGTGCTAAGGAGGCTGAGGAAGAGAGAGGTCAATGTAATCATGTTGCAACCACCTAGGAAGATGGCAGCAGCTGTGGAACAGAAGGTTGTAAGCAAGATCCCAGGGTAAAGATGGGCACTTAGGCCTTGGAGATGACAGTGACAAGGGCTCACAAGCGCTGTTTTGCTCACTAAAAGCCCCAAATGCAAACCTTCTGTTTCAACTAGATTACTCCCATGAATCAGGTGAAGCAAATTTCTATTGGGGCACACTACTGGACAGGTTCAGGGCACGTACAGCATTATCTCCACTTCCCTTCGTGCTGGAAATACAAAGGAGACCAAAACCCCCAGGAATACATTCACGTGCAACCTCCATAGTCCTTGAATTTAACAGAGTTGCTGCCTGTCACATTGAGAAAGAGGAGAATTCAGCAGGAATATGAGACTCTCATATTTCTAACAGGGCTGATTTTTCTCTACTGTGTCCTGCTTGTACCCCAGGATATCCACTTTACCACCCTCAACCACCCAAGAAGAAAAACTAGCTTTTACTTTAACAAACCGAAGCTAAGCACTCAACAAATATTTGTTGAATGAATGAATAAATCAGAGCATAGCTCAAGAGCAAAAACCTTTTCAATCAATAATTTAAAAGCAAAGCTACAAAACAATATCCTCTCGTGCTTTAGTGTTTAATGAACTCTCAACATTGGTTGTTTCTTGGCAGCTGCAGATTTCACAAGAATGAGATTAAATGGCTTTTTACATCCTGTATTTGGAAAGAGAATAGGAGGATTTACAGGAAGTTATGCTCAGTTCCAATCCAGTTAAACAGGTATATAATTCTCTTTTGTCTTTCTTCAGACAATGAAAATCCGCAATCTAAGACCTGAAACTACTGCCACAGCCATGCATAAAATGAAATGCTGCTGCTTTCCTCTCTGTTAAAGAGAATGTTCAAGGCCGAGGACACATAAAAAAGAGCAGCATTGCTGGCTCTGTTATTTAGCTGTGTGTTCTTGAAAAAGTCACTTCTCCAGACATATCTCAGCATTTATAACCTAAGACTGAATCACTGCATTTTACCCTTAATGAGGTACGCTTACACTAATCTTTTTGAAACAGTACTTAAATTGTAGCAGGACAAGCCGCAGACAAAACCCCTCAGCCAGCGAGTTTAAGAAAGAAGGGCTTTATTCGGCCGGGATCTTCGGCAAGACTCACGTCTCCAACAACCAAGCTCCCCAAGTGAGTAATTCCTGTCCCTTTTAAGGGCTTACAACTCTAAGGAGGTCCGTGTGAGAGGGTCGTGATTGACTGAGCAAGCGGGGGTACATGACTGGGGGGCTGCATGCACCGGTAATTAGAACGGAACAGAACAGGACAGGGATTTTCACAGTGCTTTTCTATACAATGTCTCTAATCTACAGATAACATAACCGATTAGGTCAGGGGTCGATCTTTACCAGGCCCAGAGTGTGGTGCCGAGCTGTCTGCTTGTGGATTTCATTTCTGCCTTTTAGTTTTTACTTCTTCTTTGGAGGCAGAAATTGGGCATAAGACAATATGAGGGGTGGTCTCCCTCCCTTAAAATCCTAATGCTCTCCTCCAAAAATGTATATCCACATATTTGCATATAATTTCATGGGATTCAAAACCCCTGAAATTTATCCAGGAACCCCCAGATTAGTAACACCTGGACTAGATGTTGTCTAAGTCCTCTGAGCTCTGTAATTGGTTCCACTGATTTCTAAGTTTTGGGGTTTTTTTTTCTTTTTAAAGTAAAACCACTTTGAGTTATGTTCATGGTGCTTACACCATGGTTTCCATTCTAGAACCAACTATATTCTAAAATTCCTGGTTGGAACAAAAGTTACTTAAGCAAGTAAAAGTGTGACAGTCTGGTAACAGATTCTAAATAATCACCTTTTTATGGTGATAAGCTAAAATTTATTTTAAAAAGTGTATTAAACAAGTATTAATACTTCTCAAACAGCAGTTGAGATGTCCCTGGGGTAAGGAGACAGGGCACCAGGGACATTCCAGAAGTAACAGAATATACAAAGCATGATTTTGAAAGTTTTAGCGGTTTTTAATTTGTGGATGAGGGTGTAACACTTTTGCATTAAAATAAACAGATATGTTGTGGAGTAAAATGCATAAAGGCACATTTTTAAAGATAAAATGTGAAACTTACAATGTCCTGCTTACTAATACCTTGTCTCACGTCCAGAGGACACTTACTTCACACTCCTCTAATCTTAGTGGTTCTCTGGTGGAAACTTACACATTACAAAAAAAGTAATCTATTCTAAATCCTAAAATAATTTGATTTTTTGTAACACAATGAAGATAACTAGCACAAAGTAAAGAAAGAATGACTTTTTTTTTGAGACAGTCTCACTCTTGCCCACGCTGGAGTGCAGTGGCGGGATCTCGGCTCACTGCAATCTCCACCTCCCTAATTCAAGCGATTCTCCCGCCTCACCCTCCCGAGTAGCTGGGACTATAGGCGCCCACCACCACACCCAGCTAATTTTTGTATTTTTAGTAGAGACGGGGTTTCACCATGTTGGCCAGGATGGTCTCGATCTCTTGATCTCGTCAAAGTGCTGGGATTACAGGCATGCGTGAGCCACTGCGTCTGGCCATTTTATTTTATTTTTTGAGACAGAGTCCTGACCTCAAGCAATCCGCCTGCCTAGGCCTCGCAAAGTGCTGGGATTACAGGAGTGAGCCACCGTGCCCAGCCAAGAAAGATTTTGGAAGAGTGAATGAATACAAGGATTTCCACTAGACTGAGAATTAGTTTGTCAACAGCATTTCAGTGTCTTGAGAAGTGTTTACATTTGGCGTGGACAAAGCTGGCAGATGACGTAGAAAGTAAAAAGTTGCCTCTTCAAAGTTTCCCTTCTTGTTAAAGAATAAATCATAAATGTTAGAAACAATAGTTTCTTTTAAAGACTAACTTACTTCAAGCCTCCTTGCTTTGTGCTAATAACTCTGTTAAGCCCTATTGTATGTAACTGCGGGACATGCTCACAGGCCCAGGCACGTTCCAGCTCACAGCCTGTTTAGCAAATCGGGTATCAGTTTAAGATTATGAGGTCCAGCCCCAGCCAACGGATGCAGGACACAGCAGTAAGGACAACCCAAAGGCGTAAGGGACAAATATGTCTGCTTTTCCTTTGTTCAGGAGTGCTCTCACCATCGTTCCATCTGCAATTGAGCACCCTTTCTGCATAAAGTAAAAATTGCCTTGCTGAGAGATCTTTTGTCTCCATGCTGACTTTTCTTCGTGTCACCAATTATCTATTTCTAACAATAACAAGGTCTTTTCTGCACTGCAGTGACAACCAAAGCATCCCAAATGAAATCATTTCTGCAAGACCCAAACTAGCCTCTATTAACACGTACTAACAATTCAGAACACCAGAGAAGAAAAGTTATTGGAAACAAAAGGGTCTAAGCGCTGAAGCACTGTATCGCACTTGAAATGGAGGCTGAAGATTTGAGAAGGATGGACTATGCATCTTGTTTACCAAATGACCTACTACGGTGTTTATGAGAACTATACGAACCAAGATTTACTCTGTTGGGAGCTTGTAGGAAAGCTGTAATGTCTAAGACATACCTGAATCTCTAAACCTTATTAAATAAAACTTTTTTTTTCTTTGAAAGGGGGCCTGGCTCGTCCCCCAGACTGGAATGCAGTGGAGCGATCTCGGCTCACTGCAGCCTCGACCTCCTGGGCTCAAGCAATCCTCCCACCTCAGCCTTCCGAGTTGCTGAGGCCACAGGCGGGCGTCGCCATGCTGGGCTAATTTATAACATTTTTGTAGAGACGGCATCAAAATATGTTGCTCAGGCTCACTTTGTTTTCCCAACTCTCAAATGAAGGCTCTGGCCGGGCGCTGTGGCTCACGCCTGCAATCCCAGCAACTTTGGGAGGTCGAGGCAAGCGGATCACCTGCGGTCGGGAGTTCAAAACCAGCCTAGCCAACATGGAGAAACCCTGTCTCTACTAAAAAATACAAAATTAGCCAGGCGTGGTGGCGTATGCCTGTAATCCCAGCTACTCGGGAGGCTGAGGCAGGAGAATTGCTTGAACCCGGGAGGCAGAGGTTGCGGTGAGCCGAAATCGCGCCACCGGACTCCAGCCTGGGCAAAAAGAGCGAAACTCCGTCTCAAAAAAAAAAAAAAAAAAATGAAGGCTCACTGCTCCCTCCCCAGGAGGTGCCGCAACCTTGGCCAATACAGCCCCAGAGTTAGACAAGCAGACAGAGAAAGTGTGCAGGGCTGGGGTTCTGGCCCGGGCAGACGGGAACGCGGACACATCTAGCACTCCGAGTCCGTCAAGGCAGCGCGAGCGCTGCGCCGCTGGAACAAGTCACCGCGAACCCTAATCCCACCCCTCCTTACCCTATTAACGACAGAAAGCCTCGTTCCGCTGGTCCCTGAACAAAAACTCCTACCCTACTAGTACACAGCCCACAACAATGCACGCTGCCGGCGCTACAGCCCCTAAGCAACCGGCCGGAAGTCGGCCCCACCTCCTCCTGATGTCACGGAAATGAAGGGCTTCGCAGAGGATGTCCCGCCCGCTCCCTTCAGACGGGCGTAGCTGGCACCTTCCTGAGATATGCCTGCTTGCCCCCGATTTTTTTCTCCTTGCAGTGAGAACCTCCTCATGTGGCATCTTTACTTATTCTCTTCTTGGAAAATCCATGTGACCTCCCCGCGCTTAAAGTGTTTCCACGTTACAGGCGACTTAAAGGCAGCCCTGGAGCCTGACGTATAATTCGAGCGCCGATGCAGAAAGGAGTCAGGTGTTTTTTTTTTTTTTTTTTTGGTTTCCGGTTCTGTCACCTCCAGGCTGAGCCGGGCTGGCGGAAGAGGCACGTGCGCTGCTGAATGGAGCTGGTCGCTGGTTGCTACGAGCAGGTCCTCTTTGGGTTCGCTGTACACCCGGAGCCCGAGGCTTGCGGCGACCACGAGGTGAGATACCGCGTAGTTAGAGACAGTCGGAGGCGGGGCCGGGAAGGTCGGGTTTGGTTCCTACACAGCAGAGGTGAACATTGGAGCGCCTGCTGTTCACTGGATGATTTGATGAATCAAACCTAAGAGACTTAAGAGAAAAGCTAACCTTTTAAACCGTAGAATGGACATTTTATCAAAATGAGGCAATATCTGCCTTTTCTAGTAGACAAAAGGTCCACGGGACACAAAGGAAACCGGCATTTCTGCATACGGACAAATGAGTCGTAGATTGTGGATTTAAGGATCGATCCCATAAGTTGACAGTATTCAGAATTTAATGAAAGAAGATCTCGCTCTTTTGCTGAATTTCTGCCCTGGAATTTTACAAATTACTAGAACTAGATTAGGATAAATCCCTTATAGGTAAAGCGATACCAATTCATTATTTGTTGGGAACTTATGGCGAGCTGGGCGGTGGAGATGCAAAGATGCTGGAGGTATGGATCTTGCCTTAGAGACGTTGCCTACATAAGGGGTGGAGGACTGAGGAGACGCATAGATGGAGAGAAATTACAGCAGAATATGATATTACTAGATGTGTGAATAGATAAAAAGGTCAAATAAATTATCAGTAGTCAAATAGGTAGATAGGACTATACTCACGACTAGGAATCCGACCTCCTAACATCTAGCTCACTTTTATTCTTGAAGCAATTCTAAGCATTTTCTAGAAAATTGAGTACAGTACTTCTTTATGAAGTCAAGGCGTCGGTCTTTAATTATCCAGAAAATTTGGAAGTATATCACTTGGCCTATTGCTTTCGTTTATTTTGTTTCCTACTCCAGTTATTTGCTCTTTGTCTTTGGCTGAAAAGTGATGTGTTTTGAATAGTCAAAGATGATGCTATTTAATTTTTTTTTTTTGTAGTGAAATTACTTAACTGTGTTCCAGACACACAGTAGTCCTCACAGCAACCCTCTGAGGAGGATGCAGTTATTCTCGTTTTGCAGATGAAGTACCAAAATGTTGGTCCTAGATAGGTTAAGTGACTGCTGAAGGACACACAGATAATAATTGACACAGCTGACCCCAAAATGTCAGGAGCCCCCGAGGGTCTCTGACATTTGAAACTCTTAACCATTACCCTATACTTCTACTAAATCTAAGCAATAGCCTAGATAACCTACATTATGTGAATTTTAAAAGGTTATTATTTGATTTAAGGCCATAGCAGACCCGCAAAAATGCTTGATTCAAAGGAGGCCCCCTTGGTCTTAAATGATGGAAGGAGTATCTTCTGTAACTAAGGACCTGATTTGCAGTAACACATGTTCAAAGAAGTTTGATGGGTTTTTTTCTTTTTCGGTTTGTTTTGCAAATACTTTTTGATGCAGTTCCTTCAGTTTAAGGAGTGAGTGAGTGTGTGTGTGTGTCTGTGTATTTTGCTGTCATGCTTCGCACTCATCCAATCAGACTTCCTAATGCTATTGTCACATGGCAATAAGCACAGAGTTCCTGAGATTTCGTTATTGGTGATTCTCTAGAGCTTACGTTGGTACTCATGGAAACATACCTTTACTCTGTTGGTTTTTCTTTATAAGACTTGTCCACTGGGCGCGGTGGCTCATGCCTGCAATCCCAGCACTTTGGGAGGGCGAGGCAGGTGGATCACCTGAGGTCAGGGGTTCAAGACCAGCCTGGCCAATGTGGTGAAACCCTGTCTCTACCAAAATTAGCTGGGCATGATGGCAAGTGCTTGTAATCCCAGCTACTCAGGAGGCTTAGGTGGGAGAATCGCAGTTCATTGCTGTGTATCAACTGCTTGGAATAGTGCCAGACACATAGTAGGCACTCATTATTTGAAAGAATAAATTCAAATAAAAATGTGAATATCTGAAAAAATAAATTAAGTCTCACATATAAAGTAAATACACTAAAGAGTTAAAGATTTGTGTAGGATCTAAAAGTCTTCCTTAGTCCAGTCTCCATTACTGTGTTCTAGAGTGATGATACCCAGTGTTGCCTGCCCACCTCCTTGCTTTACCTTCCTCATCAAGTCTCAAGTCCTTTGTGGTAAACTACATGTCATTTTGTAGTTTAACATATCATTTTTCCATTTATAGGATCCATTGATAGTTTTCATGAATCGTGGAATGATTTATCTTTTCAGAAACAGATAAATGGTTCCGTGATTCATGAAAACTACCAGTGGATAGAGTTGGTAGAACTGTGGTGTGACTGGCATTAATTGTATGTTTTCATCTTCAGCAGCAATGGACTCTTGTGGCTGACTTCACTCACCATGCTCACACTGCCTCCTTGTCAGCAGTAGCTGTAAATAGTCGTTTTGTGGTCACTGGGAGCAAAGATGAAACAATTCACATTTATGACATGAAAAAGAAGATTGAGCATGGGGCTCTAGTGCATCACAGTGGTAAGAAAATTGTATCCCTTAAGATGAGAACATAGAGGTTTTCTTTACAATTTGACTTCAGTTGAACAATTTGTTGTATCTATTTTATAGCAGATTCTTTGCTAGAAGATAGAGGAATTTTAAAAAAAAATGGTTTCTTAGCCTGGCACAATGGCTCACACCTGTAATCCCAGCACTTTGGGAGGCTGAGGTGGGTGGATCACCTGAGGTCAGTAGCTGGAGACCAGACCTGTCTCTACTAAAATACAAAAAAAATTAGCCAGGTGTGGTGGCACACACCTGTAGTCACAGCTACTCGGGAGGCGGAGGCAGGGGAATCGTTTGAACCCGTGAGGCAGAGATTGCAGTAAGCTGAGATCACGCCACTGCATGCCAGCCTGGGCAACAGAGTGAGACTCTGTCTCAAAAAAAAAAAAAAAAGGTTTCTTGCTCTGGGTTGGCTTACGGTCTGTATTGGGAGACAGAAAGGAGGCATTTAACCCAGTCAGAGTGAGGTTTTCACTGAAACCTTCCTTAAAATGACATCTGAATTATCTTAAAAGAGAAATGTCAGTTATTGGGCAGGTAAAGTTTGCAAGGAGGGAGAAAGGACATTCCAGGCAGAGCCGGCAGTGTGAGGAGCACAAGTAGTAGCATCATAGCAATATCTGACTTTATTGAGGGCATATTATGTACCCCTCTGTGTGCCAAGAAAGTAGAAGAGAACACCTAGTTTCAAAGATGTAGCGTCACAGCAATATCTGACTTTATTGAGGGCATATTATGTACCCCTCTGTGTGCCAAGAAAGTAGAAGAGAACACCTAGTTTCAAAGATGTAGCGTCATAGCAATATCTGACTTTATTGAGGGCATATTATGTACCCCTCTGTGTGCCAAGAAAGTAGAAGAGAACACCTAGTTTCAAAGATGTTACTTGACTTGCCGAAGGTCTCAAACACTGGAACTAGAACTTGAACCTGGGCCTAGAGCCCATGCTTTTGACCACTGGTGTTCATAGGGAACCGTAAGCAGTTCCGGATTATGAGAAGGTTAAATTGGGAGTTTGAGGGGCTAGAGAAGTAGATGGGACCAGATCCTGGAGTCCTTGAGAGAGCCAGTTAGAGACTGAATTGGGAGGGAGGGAGGGAGCAAGCTAGCAAATGAATGATGTGGGCTTGAGGAAAGTACTGCCAGTTTGTATCGGAGGGGTGCTGACTGAGAACCCCAACAGAAGGACTGATGAAGGCCTGCCCCATTGGAATTGGCAGCTACGGATTGAGTAACATCAGTTTGCAAGATTTTCTGAGTTTATTCAGTAATAAGCCACAGACATTTCCCTAGAGAGAGGAAGGTTACTTGGTGTGTGCGGTAGAAGGATTGAGTTACAAGAGAATTAAGAATTTTGGTGAAGGAGTGGATTAGGTTGTCAACATAGAGAAAATGTGTTGTCAAAGGCCAGGCGCGGTGGCTCGCGCCTGTAATCCCAGCACTTTGGGAGGCCGAGGTGGGCCGAGCGTGAGGTCAGGAGATTGAGACCATCCTGGCTAACAAGGAGAAACCCCGTCTCTACGAAAAATACATAACCTTAGCTGGGCATGGTGGCACGTACCTGTAGTCCCAGCTACTTAGGAGGCTGAGGCAGGAGAATCGCTTGAACCTGGGGAGGCAGAGTGTGCAGTGAGCTGAGACTGTGCCACTGCACTCTAGCCTAGGCGACAGAGCGAGACTCTGTCTCAAAAAAAAAAAAAAAAAAAAAAGAGGAAAAGAAAAGAAAATGTGTTGTCAAGGGCCTGGAGATCTCTGAAATACAAAAGCAGGTGGAGTGTGAGTGCAGAGAGGCATGAAAGGGATGGGAAGATGTGAGCTTGTGGTCAGCAAATAGCTTCCTAGAGGTCAAGAGTTCTAACGTGGAACAGCTCTATGTGGTAACGATGCCCAGGCTGTGGGTGTAGGGGACTGAAATGCAGGGGAGGCAAAGGTCACTGGAGTTGAAGTCAAGAAGTAGTACTACAGTTCCCGGCTTGTGGTTTGGTTTTCCACACTGGTGGTCAAGGTACCCAGGATAGTGGCAGAATCAAGGGAGAGAAAGACTGAACAGGTAAATTTTTTTCTTCAGTACCAAACATTTTATGCTGTTTTTGTTGCATTTTCCCAGGGGACAGAGAATGAGGAGTAACTCAGCCAAGAAAGTTGGTTTTCTGCAAAGAAAGGCAGATAAAATGGTGCCCTTTTTCCTACCCAATCTTACATGTATTTCAGAGGATCCACACCAGGCATTGGTTTCCAGCAGTAAATTTGCAGCGATAAATGGCTTCCTTCTATTAGGTGTTCCCTTAGTTTATTCAGACTGCTATAACAAAATACCTTAGACTGAATAATTTATCAATAATAGAGATTTATTTCTCACAGTTGTAGAGGCTGGGAAGTCTAAGATTAAGGCACCAGCAGATTTTCTTGTCTCGTAAGGACTGGCTCTCTGTTGCTGTGTCCTCATGGTAGAAGGGCAAAGCAGATCCCTGCACAATTCTGTAAGGTCAAGCTTGAGAGTTGGAGCCAGTTTAAAAAAAGCAAACAAACAAACGAAAAAAACAACTTTTTTTTTGGCGGGGGCGGGGGGGCTTCTCGCTCTGTCACCCAGGCTGGAGTGCAGTGGCGCGATCTCGGCTCACTGCAGCTTCTGCCTCCTGGGTTTAAGCGATTCTCCTGCCTCAGCCTCCCAGGTAGCTTGGATTATAGGTGCCTGCCACCACGCCCAGCTAATTTTTGTATTTTTAGTAGAGACGGGTCTAACCATGTTGGCCAAGCTGGTCTTGAACTCTTGACCTCAAGTGATCCGCCCGCCTCAGCCTCCCAAAGTGCTGGGATTACAGGCGTGAGCCACCGCGCCCTGCCAAAAAAAACAACTTTTATAATGTCGCCAGTCCTCTAATCCCGTTCATGAGGGTTTGCCCTTATGACTTAGTCACCATCACCTCCTAAAGGTCTCACCTCTTAAACTATCACATTGGCAACTAAGTTTCAGCAAATGAATTTTGGGGGACACTTTCACACATGGCAGACTGTCCATTGCTGCTTTAACAGCTGTCTTGCTCTTCATCAGAAGCTGAGCTTTGAGTGATTCAAATATACATTCTTTTTTTCTCTATCTCCTAGTCCTAGTTTGTTACAAAGAAGGCTTCTCTCTCAGGTTTGGAAGAAATAAGTTAAATTTGATCTGCCCAAACCCATTAGTACAAGTGTTCAACAATAAGAAAAGGAATTACATAGAAGGAGTTTAGATTGGGGGGTGAATGAAGTAGGGCTCTTGGTTTCTTGGTTTCCTTTATTTCTTGTATAAATCCTTTTTTTCTTTTTTCTTTTTTTCCTTCAACTTTTAAGTTCAGGGGTACACATGCAGGATGTGCAGGTTTGTTACGTAGGTAAACGTCCCATGGTGGTTTGCTTTACAGATCATCCCATCACCTAGGTATTAAGCCCAGCATCCATTAGCTGTTCTTTCTAATGCTCTCCTTCCCGCAACCCTTCCCCTCCCACAGGCCCCAGTGTGTGTTGTTTTTCCCCTGTGTGAGAACATGTGGTGTTTGGTTTTCTTTTTCTTTTCTTTTCTATTTCTTTCTTTCCTTCTTTTTTGAGATGCAGTCTTTCTCTGTCACCCAGGCTGGAGTGCAGTGGCAGAGCTCGGCTCACTGCAACCTCCATCTCCCGGGTTCAAGCGATTCTTGTGCCTCAGCCTCCTGAGTAGCTGGGACTACAGGCACACACCACCACATCCAGCTAATTTTTGTATTTTCAGTAGAGACGGGGTTTCGCCATGTTGGCCAGGCTGGTATTGAACTCCTGACCTCAAGTGATCTGCCTGTCTCGGTCTCCCAAAGTGCTGGGATTACAGGCATGAGCCACCTCGCCTAGCCAGTGTTTAATTTTCTCTTCCTGCATTAGTTTGCTGGGGATAATGGCTTCCAACTCCATCCACATCCCTGCAAAGGACATGATCTCATTCCTTTTTATGGGTGCATAAATCCTATTTTTCTAAGAGTTGCTAATAGATAAGCTTTTTTCTAGGGAAGCAAATGTGGGAAACCAAACTTTCCAAAGTGAGAAATAGGATAATAGGGAGAGGAAAATATGAACAAATGAATGAGAAGTGTGTGGAAATGGATCAAAACAGATCTGAGTGATAAGGATTGGATTGTGGCTGATTGGGTAGCTAATTCACTGTTTAGAAAGTGGAAGTCATGTGGCAGTACACCTGGTTTGTTCCCCAGATTAGCTTGTTAGCTGATTAGTTTTGTTTACTTCTGCTCAAACTATCCTAGCCAGCCACCTCCTAAATTTATAATTTGAAGACATAAAGCAAGGACGTGAACTGATTTGTTCAAATCTGTATCTAAACTGGAGATACTCTGCTGAAAATATTTGCATAGATTTGAACAACTGTACTTACATGAAAAAATTTAAGGTATGTTTTAGTAATATTAAGACATTGAGGCCAGGCACAGTGGCTCACACCTGTAATCCCAGCACTTTGGGAGGCTGAGGTGGGCAGATCACTTGGGCCCAGGAGTTCAAGACCAGCCTGGGCAACATGGCATGGTGAAACACTGTATCTACAAAAAATACAAAAATTAGCTAGGTATATTGATGTGCACCTGTAGTCCCAGTTACTCAGGAGGCTGAGGTGGGAAGATTGCTTGAACCCAGGAGGCAGAGGTTGCAGTGGGATAAGATCATGCCATAGCACTTCAGCCTGGGTAACAAGAGTGAAACCCTGCCTCAAAAAAAAAAAAAAGAAAAAGAAAAAAAGGTATTGAGTGTTTTACTTAGCATAGCATAGCCTTCAAATCAGAAATGGAGTTTGCATTTAAAATGAATATTATTTTTGCCTATTTTGGTTTTTCCATAGGTACAATAACTTGCCTGAAATTCTATGGCAACAGGCATTTAATCAGTGGAGCGGAAGATGGACTCATCTGTATCTGGGATGCAAAGAAATGGGAATGCCTGAAGTCAATTAAAGCTCACAAGTGAGTCGGGCTCTTTCCCTTTGGCATTCTCGATGTGCCAGTCAAGTTGGGGACTAACTTTTGGTTTCATTATAGAGGACAGGTGACCTTCCTTTCTATTCACCCATCTGGCAAGTTGGCCCTGTCGGTTGGTACAGATAAAACTTTAAGGTAAGTCATTAATGCTCAAGAGCATTTATCTAAGGTGTGTGTTTTACTACAGCTCTCCACCATCTAAAAATACTGTTATACAAGGGAAAGGTCAAAAGCTGGTGAACCTTTTCATAGTGGTTCATAGTGGTAGAATGAAAATGACAAGCTCTGTTTTCTTTCTTTTTTTTTTGAGACAGAGTCTCGCTCTGTCTCCCTGCTCTGTCGCCCAGGCTGGAGTGCGGCGGCGTGATCTTGGCTCACTGCAAGCTCCGCCTCCCAGGTTCATGCCATTCTCCTGCCTCAGCCTCCCAAGTAGCTGGAACTACAGGCGCCCACCACCACGCCCGGCTATTTTTTGTATTTTTAGTAGAGACGGGGTTTCACCGTGTTAGCCAGGATGGTCTTGATCTCCTGACCTCATGATCCGCCCGCCTCAGCCTCCGAAAGTGCTGGGATTACAGGCGTGAGCCACCACGCCCAGCCAACAAGCTCCGTTTTCAAACATGCAATTATGCTGCAGTCATCATAGCTGTGAATTGAAGATTTTAGAAAGGGAAACCTTTTGAAAATACAATGGATACGAGATGTTAAAGGGATATGGGAATGAAGCAAGTCTTAATCCTGCCTCATAATATTTCAAAATATTGCTGTAAGGAAGATAGCAGGTCTTCTAAATAGCCAATATTTAGTAAAATGTCACTTAAGTCTTCATTATGCTTGTTCTTTTACGCTTAGTAAAAGTTAGTTGGTGATCACACCGTAAGTGAGCTTCCTGTTTTGCAGAACGTGGAATCTTGTAGAAGGAAGATCAGCATTCATAAAAAATATAAAACAAAGTGAGTATTTTTGTTTGAAATGCAGGTTGAGCATTCCTAATCTGGAAATCTGAAATGCTCCAAAATCTGAAACTTTTTGAGCACTGATGTGGTGCCTCAAGTAGAAAATTCAACACCTTACCTCATGATGGGTCACAGTCAGAACCTTGTTTCATACACAAAATTATTTAAAATATTGTGTAAAATTACCTTCCGGCTAGGTGTATATGAAGCATAGATGAATTTCATGTTTAGACTTGAAACATGAGTTGCATGGGTTTTATCCTCGAGATATTTCATTGTATATATGCAGATATTCCAAAATCCAAAATCGTTCTGGTCCCAAGCATTTTGGATAAGGGATACTCAACCTGTATATTTTACAGTGACTTAATGGAATATGAATATAGATATACATTTTTACATGTGTGTATGTTACACATTTATTTCCCTGCATGGTGGTGGTTACCTCTGAGCAAATGCCTTGGGTTACTTTCTTTTCCCATTTTAGACTAGATTCTTTTTGTGGCTCTGCCACCTGCCTTTGATTTTTATTTTGTTTCATTTTATTTTATTTTATATTTTTTATTTTATTTTATTTTTTGAGATGGAGTCTCGCTCTATCACCCAGGCTGGAGTGCAGTGGCGCTATCTCAGCTCCCTACAACCTCTGCCTTCTGAGTTCGTTATTCTCCTGCCTCACCCTCCCAAGCAGCTGGGATTACAGGCGCGTGCCACCATGCTTGGCTAATTTTTTGTATTTTTTGGTAGAGAGATGGGGTTTCACCATGTTTGCCAGGCTGGTCTCAAACTCCTGGCCTTAAGTGATCCACCCACCTTGGCCTCCCAAAGTGCTGGCATTACAGGTGTGAGCCACTGCACCTGGCCCACCTTTGACTTTTTGAACCTAGATTATTTTCTAAAAAACTTGACTTGTAAAATGTGTTACGAAGATGAAATAGGATAATGAATTTGAAAATGCACAGTATAAATATTTGCTATTTTTATTACTATGATCATTTTATGTTTTATTTACAAAATAAATAAACTTCGTTTTTTTCCACTTACAGATGCTCACATAGTAGAATGGTCCCCAAGAGGAGAGCAGTATGTAGTTATCATACAGAATAAAATAGACATCTATCAGCTTGACACTGCATCCATTAGTGGCACCATCACAAATGAAAAGAGAATTTCCTCTGTTAAATTTCTTTCAGTAAGTAATCAGAAATCATTGACCAAAGTTTGTGGTGATGGTTGGAACTGTTGATGACATTCTGGATGTTATTACTCTTTTTCCTCTCTCCTAGGAGTCTGTCCTTGCAGTGGCTGGAGATGAAGAAGTTATAAGGTTTTTTGACTGTGATTCACTAGTGTGCCTCTGCGAATTTAAAGCTCATGAAAACAGGTATTTTTACCAATCTTTGGTGTATATGTCTAGTCTTAATAAAAGGTATATATGCAGTAGTTTCATAAGCCAGGTTATATGTTTTTATTAACAACTGCAGAAATAATCAGACATATCTACATGTACAGTATATGGTATCTGTAGTCTAATAAGGTGGTGGAAGATGTTATCTTCCTGGCATTTAATAATGCAAAAGTGGGCCGGGAGCAGTAGCTCACGCCTGTAATCCCAACACTTTGGGAGGCTGAGGCGGGCGGATCAGGAGGTCAAGAGATCAAGACCATCCTGGCCAACATGGTGAAACCCCGTCTCTACTAAAAATAAAAAAATTGGTGTGGTGGTGCACGCTGGTAGTCCCAGTTACTCGAGAGGGTGAGGCAGGAGAATCACTTGAACCCTGGAGGCGGAGGTTGCAGTGAGCCAAGATCGCACCACTGCACTCCAACCTGGTGACAGAGTGAGACTCTGTCTCAAAAAAAATAATAATAATAATGCAAAAGTGGTGAAATTGTTTTCTGGACTGTCATTTACACAAGGTATTTTTTAAATGTCTGTTAGACTTGGAGCCTGAAATCAAGCATATTTGAACAAACAAAAGACTAAACAATCTTGAGCTTTGTTCCCATCTACTTTTGTCCTTTTACATAAGTCCCCTTGCCTACTTCTTCCCCCTTTCCATGTGATTTTTTTTCCTGCAGGAGAAGTGAATTGACGTTATTGAGTTCCTGTTTTGTGCCAGCTTTTATTACCTTTTAATGCTTTCTCTATTTCTAGGGGGTAGATAGTCTCAAAGTAAGTAGTTAAGTGGTTGGCCAATATTACCCCAATAGTGGAGCTGAGAGCTGAACCCGGTTTTATCTGACTCTTATATCCCTGCTTTCTCCAGTAATTTTGAAAAAGGTGATCTAATATACAGAGTTAGATTTTGATGTGATCCATTTGCATGTTCTATGTCTCAAATGAGTCTTAATTCTTATTTCTTAAACAGTGGTTAAGTTTTAAGAAATCCATACTTAGAGTACTGCAGTCAGTAGTATAAAGGCCTTACTCTTCTCCTATATTGGGAAGTGAATATATTTTTCAAAGTCGCCCATTCCAGATGTACTAATAACACTTAAGATATTTGGCCATTCATTCATTTAACAAGTATTCATTGAGCATCATTATGAAATACTACACGAAGTATTTAATGATGAACAGAAAAGACAGGAGCTTGTGCTCTCATGGCTCTTACATTATAAGGAGGCAATAGATTATAAGCAAGCAGATCATTATAACAGGATGGAAATAGAAAAGTAGAGTGATTAAAGATTAACAAGGGTAATTGGTTTAGATAGGATGATGAGGGAAGAAGATGTGAGACCTTAAGAATGAAAAAGGAGTTAGTTTTAAAAAGAGAGAGGCACAGGTGCAAAGACCCTGAGGGAGAACAGAGCTTGGTGTATTTTAGGAGCAGATAGAAGACCTGTGTGACTAGGTGAGAATGAGCAAGGAGAAGACGGTGGAAGCCAATCGGTGCCTGTAATCATCATAATTTTTCTTACTATGGAAAAATTTAAAAGCATTTAGACTGGTTTAAGGTGCTAACTCTTTAAGACCCACCATCAGCTTTAGCAACTGTCACTGTGTGGCCAGTTTTGCTTCATCTATATGCCCAGCCACTTCTTCCTCTCCCATCTTATTTTAAAGTAGATCCCAGTTTTGTAGGGTTTTAAGCCTGCAAGTTACATGATTTGATTTACATTTTTAAAAATTTCTGGCCAGGTGCAGTGGCTCATGCCTGTAATCCTGGCACTTTGGGAGGCTGAGGTAGGCAGATCACAAGGTCAGGAGTTTGAGACCAGCCTGACCAACATGGTGAAACCCCGTCTCTACTAAAAATACAAAAATTAGCCAGGTATGGTGGCGCACGCCTGTAATCCCAGCTACTCGGGAGGCTGAGGCAGGAGAATCGTTTGAACCCAGGAGGCGGAGGTTGTGGTTAGCTGAGATAGCCGAGATCCCACCACCGCACTCCAGCCTGGGCGATAGAGCAAGGCTCCATCTCAAAAAAAAAAAAAAGAAAAAGAAAGAAAAGAAAATTGTTAAGGGGCAAAAAAGAAGCAGAAAGGCCAATCAGGCTACTTCTGTGATCCAGAGGAAAAATGAGAGTGGCTTAGACTAACAGTGGTGGGACTGGAGATGAGGGAAATGGATGTGTGGGAGAGGCCTGGATTCATCGTTTCTGTTGTCTTTTCTCTCCTTACTGAACTTGGAGTTTCTTGAGGTGATGGGCTTTGTTTTACTCATCTTTAGTTCCTTTGTGATAACCTGATTATTTATAGTTATCTGTTTTCTTTTCAACTTTTCCTTCAGATATGGTTGGCAGTGGATTTTATCTTGTTTTTTGGGCCTGGATATATCTCATTAATGGGAATGCGAAGCATAGCTATATTTTAAGGCACCATTCATTGAGCAGTTTGGAAATACTTGAAACATTGAGAAAGCACTAGTCTTTGTGTGTAATTTTATAACAATATTAGACTATTTGGAGGAAAAGATCTTTTATGGTGTTAATATTTCTATCCTAGGGTAAAGGACATGTTCAGTTTTGAAATTCCAGAGCATCATGTTATTGTTTCAGCATCGAGTGATGGTTTCATCAAAATGTGGAAGCTTAAGCAGGATAAGGTCAGTGCTTCAACACAATCTAAATGTACTTTAATACAAGTCTTGCTCATAAGTGAGGTGGAATTTTTTTAAGGGTCATAAGACATAGGTCTTTAAACTTTTTAAATCTCTTCCAGGCATGATTGATATTAATGGTTTTAAAATTAGGGTTCCCAGGGAGCTGCCTTGATGGTTGTCATTTCTGAGTGTGAGCTGGTGGGATCCCAGAACTCGCGCTGCTCTTTTTAGTCAGAGAAGCTCTACTTTCCTCTCTTGAATATTGGAGTTCTCTGGAAGCTCTTAGGTAAAAATACTGCCATTGCTAAAAGTAATTTGGAAGCTCCTGATCAATTACAAAATTAACAAACCATTTAAACCAGACACTTTGGAAAATTGAATTCCCTCCTGTAGTCTCCTTACAGTCTCTCTTGGTTTATTCTTTGTTCTCTCATAAACACATTCTGTGAATATGGTTTGTTGAATGTCTCTTTCCAAGGTTCTTTGTTCAGCCCTGGAAATAAGACCTGATTCCTTTCTTTAGAATTTTCTTTTTTTTTTTTTTTTTTTAAGTATACAATTCAGTGATTTAATTTAGCATGTTCATGGAGTTGTACAATCATAATCGTAATTAATTTTAGAATATTTTCATCACACCAAAGAGAAGCTCCATACCCATTAGCAGTCACCCCCCATCCTCTCCTTTCCCCCCACTGCCAGTCCCTGGTAACTAGTAATCTGTTTTTTGTTTTTATGGATTTGCCTATTCTGGACATTTCATATATGGAATCACACAACGTTTGGCCTTTTGTGACGGGCGTTTTTCACTTCGTGTATGTTTCTAAGGTTCATCATGTTATAGCATATGTTAGTACTTCACTACTTTTTATGACTGAATACTACGCCGTTGTGTGGATATACCACTTTTTATGTATCCATTCATCAGGTGATAGACATTTGGATTGTTTCCACCTTTTGGATGTTATGAATAGTGCTTCTGTGAACATTCATATGCAAATTTTTGTGTGGATATATGTTTTTTTTTCTTTTTTTTTATACTTTAAGTTTTAGGGTGCATGTGTACAACGTGCAGGTTAGTTATATATGTATACATGTGCTATGTTGGTGTGCTGCACCCATTAACTTCGTCATTTAACATTAGGTGTATCTCCTGATGCTATTCCTCCCCCTGCCCCCCACCCCACAACAGGCCCTGGTGTGTGATGTTCCCCTTCCTGTGTCTGTGTGTTCTCATTGTTCAATTCCCACCTATGAGTGAGAACATGCAAAATTGGCTCTGTGAATAACAGTCAAACTAATCATGAGTGAAGATTATATGTTGCTTCTGAATATCATATTTTGTACTCAAGAAAATACAGGAAGTTTTAAATTAAGGTAACTTGATTATGGAAAAAGAAATTATTGAAAATGCACATTATGAATGTTTGTTTCTTCTGTTTAGAAAGTTCCCCCATCTTTACTCTGTGAAATAAACACTAATGCCAGGCTGACGTGTCTTGGAGTGTGGCTAGACAAAGTGGCAGACATGAAAGAAAGCCTTCCTCCAGCTGCAGAGCCTTCTCCTGGTAATCGAATTTGATTGTTTTGAAATTTTGAATAATCTATTATCTCTTAAATTGTAGAAGTGGAGGAGATCCAGATAATTTCACTTTATTGACAGCTTGTGTTTATTTCATTCAAAGGGGAAAACAGTCTTTTTTTAAAAGCACTCTCTTTTGTGTTTTAGTAAGTAAAGAACAGTCCAAAATTGGCAAAAAGGAGCCTGGTGACACAGTGCACAAAGAAGAAAAGCGGTCAAAACCTAACACAAAGAAACGCGGTTTAACAGGTGACAGTAAGAAAGCAACAAAAGAAAGTGGCCTGATATCAACCAAGAAGAGGAAAATGGTAGAAATGTTGGAAAAGAAGAGGAAAAAGAAGAAAATAAAAACAATGCAGTGAATCACAGATGTCTCCTGAAAGAACTCTTTTAGATGAAATCATTCTACTCAAATGTACCTTAATTTTTTTTTTTTCCCTGAGTAAAAGCAAGAAATTTCTTCCTTTGGAAAAAATATATATATTAAAAAACCACTTTTAGATGGTTTTTTTTAAAAAAAAAAAAAAAACTGGTAAAATTACTTTTGGCAGACAGTGTTTTATGAATTATGTATCATGTTGATATATAATATGTTAATGTGTCATGTAATTTTTACTTTGTACAAAGCAAATAAAGATCTTTCTCAAAATATACTGTAAAATAATATAAAATATTGAACACATTCTTTATCAGATTTGGATGAAGGAGTCATTATTCAAAATTTTCTCTTAAATGGGAAAGAATTTAAGAACTGCCTTTGGCTTCTTCAAATGGTAAGTAGTAATTTTAGATTTTCATACCAACCAGACAAACTTAAAAGATTATACATATATAATTATACATATCTATGAAACAAACATATGCTTAAGTGTAGGACCACGTACCTAAGATTATAGAGAGATTGCCAGACTTTAAACTACTTTGCTTCCAAGTAGTAGATGTACAAAATAATTTAAGGACGGGAAAATGATCTTTTCTTTTTTTCTTTTTTTTTTGAGACGGAGTCTTGCTCTGTTGCCCAGGCTGGAGTGCAGTGGCGCGATCTTAGCTCACTGCAACCTCCGTCTCCTGGGTTCAGGCTATTCTCCTGCCTCAGCCTCCCGAGTAGCTGGTAGCTTGAGCCAAGGAGTTTGAGACCAGCATGGGCAACATAGGGAGACTGTCTCTCCCAAAAAATTAGCTAGATGTGGTGACATGCTCCCAGCTACTCAAGAGGCGGAGGTGGGAAGGATGGCTTGAGCCCAGGATGTGGAAGTTACGGTGAGCTGCGACTGCACCACTATACTCCAGCCTGGACAACAGAGCCAGACCCTGTCTTAAAAAAAAGAAAGAAAGAAAAAGACATTATTGGGGATCCATAGGTTTGAATTAGCCAGGCAGATACTAGATACCTGAGACCATCAGGAGAATCACTTCTGATTAGGCAGAATAAGAACGGGCACTGGAATTGCCACTCCATAGGAATAAATTGTCTAGGAAATGAACCAAATTGTGTGCTTAATATCAGTCTACTCCTTTGTTAGCTTATTTCATAAGCTATTAGCATAAATGTAGGTCGTTGGCTTTTTTTTTTCTCAATTCAACTCAAAAATTTTGAGATCATTGTGAGAAATATACACTTGTAAGAAATAATACAGAGATTCCACCCGGTTTTCCCAATGATAACATCTTGCAAAACAAGGGCAATATCACAACCAAGCCAAGATAGGATAGAAATGATATAATCAAGATACAGAACATTTCTATCACAATGATCCCATCTGTTGTCATAAGCCATATTCAGTTTCCTCTTGTGCTCGTATAGCTATGCCCACCTTCATAACCTCTGGCACCAGCGGTCTGTTCTCCATCTCTAATTTTGCCAAAATTGATTGGATTATACTTTCTTTTGGGATTGGCTTTTCACTCAGCATAATCTCTGGGCATTGATCCAGCTTGTTGCATCAATAGTTCTGTTTTTAGTACTGAGTGGGATGTCAGTATAGATGTACCATAGTAAACACCTGTGGAAGGACGTCAGGAATGTTTCCTGTTATTAGGTATCTAAATAAAGTTGCTGTAAACATTTGTGTACAGGTTTTTATGTGAACTAGAGTCTTCATTTCTCTTGGATAAATGCCCAGGAATTCCAAAGTTTTCCAGAATAGCTGTATGGTTTTACATTTCTACCAGTAATGTTTGAGTGATACAGTTTCTCTGCATCTTTCCAGCATTTGATGTTAGTCTTAGCCATTCTGGTAAGAGTGTAGTGATACCTTATTGCGGTTATAACTTACATTACTCTGATAGCTAATGATGTTAATCATCTTTCCATGTGCTTATTTGCCATCTGTGTATCATAATTGGTGAAAAGTCTTTTGCCCATGTTCACATTATATATTTTTTCTTTTTTGCTGTTGAATTTTGAGAGTTTTTTGTTTTTGTTTTTTTTTGAAACGGAGTCTTACTCTGTCACCCACCCAGGCTGGAGTGCAGTGGCGTGATCTCGGCTCACTGCAACCTCCACCTCCCAGGTTCAAGCGATTCTCCTGCCCCAGCCTCTTGAGTAACTGGGATTACAGGTGCGTGCCACCATACCCAGCTAATTTTTGTATTTTTAGTAGAGGTGGGGTTTTACCATGTTAGCCAGCCTGGTCTCGAACTCCTGATCTTTAGTGATCCACCCGCCTCGGCCTCCCAAAGTACAGGGATTACAGGCGTGAGCCACCGCACCTGGCCAAGAGTTCTTTTATATATTGTAGAAACTCAGCCTTTCTCAGATAATGTGGTTTGCAAATATTTTTGCCTAGTCTGTAGCTTGTGTTTTTGTCCTAACAGCCTTTTGCAGAGCTCAAGTTTTTTATTTTGTTGAAATCCAGTTCATCAATTTTTCCTTCCATGGATCATGCTTTTGGTGTGAAGTCCAAGACCTTTGTCTAGCCTTAGATCCTGAAGAGGTTCTATATATTTTTTAAAGGTTTTGTAGAGTTTTACATTTTACATTTAGTATGTGATCCATTTTGAGTGTATAAAGTGTGAGGTTTAATTCCAAGTTTATTTTCTTGCCTATGGATATCGACTTGCTCTAGCGCCTTGTTGAAAAGACTGTTCTTCCTCTATTGAAATACTTTTGCATCTTTGCCAGAATTCAATTGAGCATATTAGTGTGGGTCTATTACTGGGCTCTCTATTGTGTTCTATTGATCTCTGTTGATATTTTTGCTGGAACCACATGGTCTTGATTACTGCAGCTATATAATAAGCCTTGAATTTGAGTAGAATGATTCTCCCCCTTTTCTGTTTTTCAAAATTATTTTCACTATTCTAGTTCCTTTGCCTTTCCATATAGAATTTAGGATAATTCTATCCTTCTCTACAAAAAAAAAATGTACAGTCATGTCAATAATGACAGGAATACATTCTGAGAAATTCCTCATTAGGTGATTTCATTTTGTGTGAATATCACAGGGTGTACTTACACAAACCTGGATGGTAGAGCCTGCTGCACACCAAGGCCATACGGTATAGTCATAATCTTATGGGACCACCATTGTATATGTGATCCGTTATTGACCAAACCATTATTGACCAAAATGTCATTACGCAGCACATGGCTGTATAGATCTTTGATTTTTTTATTATTTTATTTTTATTTTTTTAGACAGTTTTGCTCTTGTCACCCAGGCTGGAGTGCAATTTTGCGACCTCAGCTCACTGCAACTACTGCCTCCTGGATTCACGCAATTCTCCTGCCTCAGCCTCCCGAGTAGCTGGGATTACAGGCACACACCACCACGCCCGGCTAATTTTTTTATTTATAGAAGAGACAGGGTTTCGCCATGTTGGCCAGGCTGGTCTCAAACTCCTGACCTCAGGTGATCCGCCCGCCTTGGCCTCCCAAAGTGCTGGGATTACAGGCCTTAGCTACTGCGCCCAGCCAGATCTTTGATTTCTTTTATCAGTGTTGTGTAGTTTTCAGCATACAAATCTTGCACGTGTTAGATTTATTTGTAAGTATTTGGGGTGGGGGAATTACAAGTAATTTTTTTTTTTTTTTTTTTTTTTTTTGAGATGGAGTCTTGCACTGGTGCCTGGGCTGGAGTGCAGTGACGCCATCTCGGCTGACCGCAACCTCTGCCTCCTTGGGTTCAAGCGATTCTCCTGCCTCAGCCTCCCAAGTAGCTGGGATTACAGGTGCCTGCCACCATGCCCGGCAAATTTTTTTGTACTTTTAGTAGAGATGGGGTTTCACTATATTGGCTAGGCTGGTCTCAAACTCCTGACCTCGTGATCTGCCCACTTTGGCCTCCCAAAGTGTTGGGATTACAGGCATGAGCCACTGCACCTGGCCTACAAGTGATATTTTTAATTTTGGTGCCCATATTCATTGCTAATACATAGAAATACAGTTTATTTTTGTGTGATCTTACATCCTGCTATCTTGCTGAATTCATTTATTCTAGGAGTTGTTTTGTTGGGGGTTTCTATGTAGACAATTATGTTATCTGCAAATATAAATAGTGTTATTTCTATCTGTATTTTTCCCCATTTTCTTGCCTTATTAACTGACTAGAAGATGCAGCACTGTGTTGAATAACAATAGTGAGAACAGACATCTTTGCCTTGTTATGATCTTAGGGGAAAAATATTCAGTCTTTCACTGTTAAGTATAATGCCAGCTGTAGGGTTTTCGTAGATATTCTTTGTCAAGTTGAAGAAAGGTCAACTTGACATCCCCTGTTTCATTCCTGATATTGGTAATTTGTGTCCTCTCTGTTTTCTTTGTCAGTCTTCCTAGAGCTTTGTCAGTTTTATTATCTTTTCAAAGAACCAGTTCTGCCAGGCACGGTGGCTCATGCCTGTAATCCCAGCACTTTGGGAGGCCGAGGTGGGCAGATCACCTAAGGTCAGACGTTCAAGACCAACCTGGAAAACCTGGTGAAATCCTGTCTCTACTAAAAATATAAAAATTAGCCGGGCATTGTGGCAGGCGCCTGTAATCCCAGCTACTAGGGGGGCTGAGCCAGGAGAATCGCTCAAACCCGAGAGGCGGAGGTTGCGGTGAGCCGAGACTGTGCCACTGCACTCCAGCCTGGGCAACAGAGAGAAACTGTGTCTCAAAAACAAAACAAAACAAAGAATCAGTTCTTTGTTTCATTGACTCCTTCTGTTTTCAATTTCATTTTCTGCTCTCATCCTTATTTCCTTCTTTCCTTCTGCTTGCTTTGGGGTTTCTTTTGCTCTTCTTTTTCTATTTTCTTTTTGGTTTGTTTTAGGATTTTTTAGAGACATGGTCTTGCTATGTTGCTCAGGCTGGCCTTTAACTCCTGGGCTAAAGCCATCCTCCCACCTTGGCCTCCGGAGTTGCTGGGACTACAGGTGTGAGCCACCACACCTGGCTTTTTTACTAGGTTCTTGAGGCAGGAGCTTATATTATGTGAGTTTTTCCCTCATTTCAAATGTGTGCTCTTAAGGTTTTTAGCACTGCTTTTGCTACATGCCACTGTTTTTGTATGTAGTAGTGTATCTATCTATTTAAAAGAGACAGGGTTGTGTTATGGTTGCTGAGGCTGGTCTCAAACTTCTGGCCTCAAACAATCTTCTGGCCCCAGCCTCCCAAGTAGCAAACACAGTTTGGTTTTTTGTAATACTTTGAGACATAATTCATACAACATACTATTCACCCATCGAAAGCATACAATTCAATGTTTTTCAGTCTATTCACAGAGTGCAACTATCACAAAAATCAATATTAGGACATTTTAATCACTCCAAGAAGAAACCTTGGACCCCTTAGCTGTCATTCCCCATTTCTCCCTCCCAAACACCCCTAGGTGTATGCAACCACTGATCTGTCTTCCGTATGTGTAGGATTTGCCTAGTCTAGACATTTCATAGAAATGGAATCATTCCATTTGGGGTCTTTTGTGATTTCACTTCACATATTGTTCCAGGGTTCATCCATATTGGTTTTTTGTTGTTGTTGTTGTTTTAGATGGAGTTTCGCTCTTGTTGCCCAGGCTGGAGTGCAATGGTGCGGTCTCGGCTCACTGCAACCTCTACCTCCTGGGTTCAAGCGATTCTCCTGCCTCAGCCTCCCAAGTAGCTGGGATTACAGGCACCCGCCACCATGCCCAGCTAATTTTTGTAGTTTTAGTAGAGACGGGGTTTCGCCATGTTGGCCAGGCTGGTCTCAAACTCCTGACCTCAGGTAATCCGCCTGCCTCGGCCTCCCAAAGTGCTGGGATGACAGGTGTGAGCCACTGTGCCTGGCAAGGGTTTATTCATATTGTAACATATATCAGTATTTCATTTCTTTTTATTGCCAAATAATATTTCATTGCATGGATATAACACAGTTTGTTCATTCTATAGCTGATGCATATTTGTTTCTTCTTGGCTAGTAAGAATAATGTTGCTTTGAACATTCATTTACAAGTTTTTGCATGAACATATGTTTTCATTTTTCTTGGGTACATATATACCTAGAAGTAAAATTGCGGAATCAGATGGTTACTCTTATGTTCAACCTTTTGAGGGACTGCCATACTGTCCTAAAGCGATCACACCCTTTATATTTCCACCACCAGTGTGTGAGTGTTCCAATTTTGCCACACCTTTGCTGACACCTGGTTTTTTGTTTTTATTATAGCCATTCCAGTGGGTGGGGCTTAGTAGCTCATTGTGATTTTGATTTGCATTTCCTGATGGCTAATGATGGTGAGCCTCTTTTATCTTTTTTGAAAAAATGTTTATTACTCCTGACCTCAGGTGATCCACCCGCCTCAGCCTCCCAAAGTGCTAGGATTACAGGCGTGAGCCACCGCGCCCGGCCCTGGATTCACAATTCTAATCCATTGATTTATATGCCCATCCTTATAATAGTACAATACAGTCTTGATTACTATAGGTTTGTAGTAAGTTTTGAAATAAGGAAAGGTGAGTCTTGCAACTTTATTCTTTTTGAAGATTATTTTGGCTGTACTGTGTCCCTTGAATTTTTAATGAATTTTAATATCAGTTTATCAATTTCTGCAGAGTCCAGCTTGAATTTGACAGGAATTGCATTGAATCTGTAGATCAATTTGAGGAATATTATAACCTGAAAAATTTGAAATCCTCCAATCCACAAACAAAGGATATCCTTTTATTTATTTAGGTATTCTTTCATTTCTTTCCACAGTGTTTTTTAGTTTTCAGTTTATAAATTTTGTATTTATTTTATTAAATTTATTTCTGAGGGTTTTATTCCTTTTGATGCTATTGTAAATTGAATTGTTAATTTCACTTTTGGTTTATTCATTGCTACTAATGCTATATATTTTAATGTGTTGTATTTTCATTTTATTCAGGATAATGCACTTTTCTTGGCGGCAGGGGAGGGGGCAAGGTCACCCAGGCTGGAGTGCAATGGCGTGATCTTGGCTCACTGCAGCCTTGGCCTCCTAGAGACAGGCAATTCTCCCACCTCATCCTCCTGAATGGCTGGGACTAGAGGCACATACCAACACGCCTGGCTTTTTTGTGTCTTATAAAGACAGGGTTTTACCACGTTGGCCAGGCTGCTCTTAAACTCCCGGACTCAAGCGATCCTACCACCTTGGCCTCCCAAAGTTCTGGGATTACAGGCATGAGCCACCACACCTACCTAGCCTTAATTTAATTTCTAGATTTTTAATTTTTAGAGCCACCATGCCTAGCCTTAATTTAATTTCTGGATTTTTCTCTTTGACCGACAGATTATTTTAAAATGTTTAGTTTCCAAGTGTTTGGAGATTTTCTTATCTTTCTGTTACTGATTTCTAATTTGATTCCATTGTTGTTGGAGAACACATTCTGTATGATTTCAATTCTTTTAAATTAGTTGAGATTTGTTTTATGGCCCAGGATATGATCTCTCCTGATAGATGTTCTGTGGACACTTGAATATGTATCTTGCAGTTGTTGGGTGGAGCACTCTATAAATGTATATTAGATCCTGTTAGTTGATGATGTTATTGGGGTTTTTCTATATCCTTCCTGACTTCTGGTCTACTGCTTTTATCATCATTTAGAGGGATTGAAGCATCCAACTATAACTCTGGATTTGTCCATTTCTTATTTCAATTCCTTCAGTTTTTGTTTCACATCTTTTGCAGCTCTATTGTTAGGTACATATACATTTAGGATTTCTGTTTTCTTGGTGGATTGACTCTTAAATCTTTATACAATGTCACTGTCTCTGGTCATTTTCTTTGCTCTGAAATCTATCTGATAGTAATGTAGCTACTTCTGATTTCTTTTGTTTGCATGATATATTTTTTCCGTCTTTTATTGCAACTTGCCTGTATCCTTATGTTTGAAGTGAATTTTTTGTATGCAGCATATAGTTGTGTCATATTTCTTAATCCATTCTGTCTTTTAATTGATGTATTTAGACTGTTTACATTTAATGTCATTAATGTTTTAAGACTTAAGTTGGCCATTTTTTTGTTTTGCTGTTTGTGCTGTTTTTGTTTTCTTTTTCCTACTTTCCTATGAGTTATATAAACATTATTTAAAATGCTGCTTTTCTTTCTTTACACTGTTTGTTCGTTTCTTTGTTTTTGAGAGAGTCTTGCTCTGTTGCCCAGGCTGGAGTGCAATGGCGCAATCTTGGCTCATGGCAACCTCCGCCTCCTAGGTTCAAGCAATTCTCCTGCCTCAGCCTCCAGAGTACCTTGGATTACAGGGGTGTGCCACCACGCCTGGCTAATTTTTGTATTTCAGACCTTACTTTAAATCATAGCTGTACCACTGACAAAGACCGTAGATAATACAATTCTCTGAGGTTGAGTTTCTTCAAGTATAAGGTGAGGGGGAGAGTGCGGGAATCATGGTGGATGATCCTAATTAAGGTTTGAGGCTTGCGCCTGCATAGGGAAGAATGAGCCCCTAAAGCCGTTCCTGCAGGTTAAGACAAGTCTCCCTATTAATTGTTCAGGAAGGTCTTCAATTAAATTGAAGGTCTGGCATACTGCAATTCCTGCAAGTTCTTAGTCATTATCAGCGTTGGCTGGTTAGAATCAGCTGTGATAAACAAGGGCTTCAATTTTGCTATCTGCAAGGTAGGTGCTGCCACAAGTGGAAAGTTTGTCTTTAAGAATATACGCCGCGACCGGGCATGGTGGCTCACACCTGTAATCCCGACACTTGTGGGAGGCCCAGGCAGGCAGATTGCTTGAGGCTGGGAGTGTGGGACCAGCCTGGCCAACATGGTGAACCACTGTCTCTACTAAAAACACAAAAAATAGCCAGGCATGGTGCCACACATCTGTAATCTCAGCCGCTCAGGAGGCTGAGCAGGAAAATCACTTGAACCTGAGAGGCAAAGGTTGCAGTGAGCTGAGATCATGCCACTGCACTCCAGCCTGGGCAACTGTTAGAAATGCTTGTTCCCCAGCACCACAAAATAGCACTCAAACATAAATTTAATTCTCTCAGCAAGGCCATTTTCACTTCCTGCAGAAAGGGTGCTTCTCACAGATGGAACAACGGCAATAGCACACTTGAACAAAGGAAAAGCAGAGGGTTTACACATTTGGGTCCTCCTTACTGCTGTGTCCTGCATGCATTGACTGGTGCTGGACCTCGGTCTTAAATTTCCAATTTGCTAACAACCTGAAACTTTCCTAAATAGTTAGGTGCAAGGGAGGATAAAGGAGACTAAGTTGCTTATGAAAGGTTTAAGGAAATAATAACATTTCCAAATAAGGAAGGGGCATAAAATATGAGCTGAGACTTGCTTGGGCCTGTCCAGACATGCCTGAATAAGCCAAAGCAACTAACTGGGCTAAATCGTAAGAACTAACAGTTGATAGCAGGCTTTGGAGTAAGATGTGATTATTCCTGGTGTCTATTTTTAAACCAAGACAAGGTTTGAAGAGAAGCTTTTCTACTTTCTACAACAGCAAAACTCCATCTCAAAAAAAAAAAAAAAAGCAAAAACCATGCTACAAAGGCCAGCAAAGCAGCTCATGCCTCTAATCCCAGCACTTTGGGAGACTGAGGTGGGCAGATGAGATTAAGAGTTTGAGACCAGCTGGGCCAACATGGTGAAACCCCATTGTGTCTGGACTTTGTGGGTTCGTCTTGCTGACTTCAAGAATAAAGCCACAGACCCTCATGATTGAATGTTACAACTGTTAAAGATGGTGGGTCCAAAGTTTGTTCCTTCCGACATTCAGACATTATCTAGTTTCTTCCTACTGGTGGGTTCACGGTCTCACTGATTTCAGGAATGAAGCTGCAGGCCTTTGCAGTGAGTGTTACACCTCTTAGAGGTGGCACATCTGCAGTTACTTGTTCTTTCTGGTGGGTTTGTGCTCTCTGCTAGCCTCAGCAATAAAACCACCAACCTCTGCAGTCAGTGCTACAGTTCATAAAGGTGGCACATCCAGTTTTTCATCTGCTTTCAGTGGGTTTGTGGTCTCACTAGCTTCAGAAGCAAAACTGTAGCCTTATCACGGTGAGTATTAAAACTCATAAACATTGCACGGATCTAAAGAACTATCAGCACCAACATTTATTGCAAAAAGCAAAAGAACAAAGCTCTGTCAGCCCAAGAAAACACCCAAGCACGTTTCCCCTACTGGCTGTGGGTGGCCAGTTTTTATTCCCTAATCTGGCCACACCCACATCCAGCTGATTGGTCCATTTTACAGAGTGCCGATTGGTGCATTTGCAAACCTTTAGCTAGACACAGAGTGCTGATTGGTGCGTTTACAATCCTTTGGCTAGATACAAAAGTTCTCCAAGTCCTGACCAGATTAGCTAGACACAGAGCGCTGATTGGTGCGTTTACAAACCTTTAGCTAGACAAAAAACTGCTGACTGGTGCATTTACAATCCTTTAGCTAGACACAAAAGTTTTCCAAGTCCCCACCCGTCCCAGAAGCCCAGCGGGCTTCACCTCTCGCTGGGAGTTGGGTGGGACTTTTTGGCAACTAGCCTGGGCACTCCGGGAGCTCCTCCCACACAACCAAGAGGAAAAGAGGAGGAGAGAGACAGAGACCCGCCATCGTGGCCAACGACCCCGCCAAGAGGGAACGGCGGTCCACGCACTGGACCCAGCCTCCGATCAAGCCCAGCAGGGGCCGGCAGGTCGCGCCAAGTGCGGGGCCCACCGAGCCTGCGCCCACCTGGAACCCGGGGCAGCGCAGCCCCAGTCCCCGCCTGCGCCTCTCCCTCCACGCCTCCCCACGAGCAGATGGAGCCGGCTCCGGTCTCGGCCAGCCCCAGGGAGGGCCCCGCACAGCGCAGCGGCGGGCTGAAGGGCTCCTCGAGCCTGGCCGATGCTAAGGAGGCACCGAGAGCAAGCGAAGGCTGCTAGTGAGAGGTGACGACGTGCTGGCAGTCCTCAGAGCCCTCGCTCTCGGCGCCTCCTCTTCCTGGGCTCCCACTTTGGAGGCACTTGAGCCCTTTAGCCCACCGCTGCACTGTGGGAACCCCTTTCTGGGCTGGCCAAGGCCAGAGCTGGCTCCCTCAGCTTGCAGGGAGGTGTGGAGGAAGAGGCGCGAGCGGAAACCAGGGCTGCGCGCGGCGCTTCCGCGCCAGTTGGAGTTCCGGGTGGGCGTGGGCTTGGCGGGCCCCGCACTCGGAGCAGCCGGCCGGCCGGCCCTGGGCAATGAGGGGCTTGGCACCCAGGCCAGCGGCTGCAGAGGGTGTACTGGGTCCCCCAGCAGTGCCAGCCCACCGGCGCTGCGTTGGATTTCTCGCGGGGCCTTAGCTGCCTTCCGACGGGGCAGGGCTCGGAACCTGCAGCCCGCCATGCCTGAGCCTCCCACCACCTCCGTGGGCTCCTGTAGGGCCCGAGCCTCCCTGATGAGCACCACCCCCTGCTCCACAGGGCCCAGTCCCATCAACCACCCAAGAGCTGAGAAGTGTGGGCGCAGGGCGCAGGACTGGAAGGCAGCTCCACCTGCAGCCCTGGTGTGGGATCCACTGGGTGAAGCCAGCTGGGTTAAGTCTGGTGGGGAGGTGGAGAACCTTTATGTTTAGCTCAGGGATTGTAAATACACCAATTGGCACTCTATATCTAGCTCAAGGTTTGTAAACACACCAATCAGCCCCCTGTGTCTGGCTCAGGGTTTGTGAATGCACCAATGGACACTGTATCTAGCTACTCTGGTGGGGACCGTGGAGAACCTTTATGTCTAGCTTAGGGATTGTAAATACACCAATCGGCACTCTGTATCTAGCTCAAGGTTTGTAAACACACCAGTCAGCACCGTGTGTCTAGCTCAGGGTTTGTGAATGCACCAATCCACACTCTGTATCTAGCTACTCTGGCAGGACCTTGGAGAACCTTTGTGTGGACACTCTATAGCTAATCTGGTGGGGACGTGGAGAACTTTTGTATCTAGCTCAGGGATTGTAAACGCACCAATCAGCACCCTGTCAAAACAGACCACTCGGCTCTACCAATCAGCAGGATGTGGGTGGGGCCAGATAAGAGAATAAAAGCAGGCTGCCCAAGCCAGTAGTTGTAACGCACTTGGGTTTTCTTCTATGTGGAGGAGGCTTTGTTCTTTCTCTTTTTCTTTTTGCAACAAATATTGCTGTTGCTCGGTGCTTAGGTCCTGTGTTGTCTTTACAAGTGGTAACGCTCACTGCGAAGATTTGCAGTTTTGCTCCCAAAGCTACGAAGACCACGATCCCACCGGAAAGAACAAACATATTCCAGACGCACTGCCTTAAGAGCTTTAACATTCGTTATAGAAGTCTGTAGCTTTGCTCCTTGAGCCAGTCCAAAGCTAGGGAGACCACGATCCCACCGGGAAGAACAAACAATTCCAGACACACTGCCTTAAGAGCTTTAACATCCACCACAGAGGTCTGTAGCTTTGCTCGTTGAGCCAGTGAGACAGCAAACCCACCAGCAGAAAAACTCCCTGAATACTTCTAAACATCGGAAGAAAAACTCTAGAGACACTGCTTTTAAGAACTAACACTCATCGCGAGGGTCTGCAGCTTTCTCAAGTCAGACCAAGAAGCCATCAATTTTGAACACACTGGCACGTTGTGATCTCTCACTATCTCCACTAAAAATAACAAAAATTAGCCTGGCAGCCAGGGGTGGTGGTACAGGCCTATAATCCCAGCTACTCAGGCAGCTGAGGCAGGAGAATCAGTTGAACATGGGAGTCAGAGGTAGTGGTGAGACAAGATCATACGCTGCACTCCAGCCTGGGCAATAGAGTGAGACTCCACATAAAAAAAAAAAAAACTTGGCTGGAATTCGCTTTATTCACTGACAATTATATTGGTCAGATTTGTGTATGTTGATACTTGTAGGGGATGGAGAGGGAGAAGTCAACGATGACAGCAAATTTTAGTGTAGAGCAACTAAGAGAATGGTGGTGCAGGAAACGGAATAGGAGTGACTCCAAGTGGGAATGGAGATAATATGCTGTGGATATTTTGGGTCCACAGAGCTGGGTAAAAATCAGGTTTAACTTACTCCCCATCCCCCTTTAAGATGCTTCTCAAGCAGCCTCACTCCCTAAAACAAACGGATATTTGGCTTTGAGCCACATTATTCTGCAGCCCCCGTATTTTCTTCCAGGCAGGCCCTTCCTGGTGTAGACAAGATCGGGCTTGAGTGACACTCCTCCCTGATGGCCTGCATCTGGTTTATACCCTGTAACTTGTTCCTCTATTAATGGGGTCCTTCAAAATCCAGCCTCAGATTCCCTGGTCCCGCAGCGGTGGCCTCACCTCTGGCGTGGCCGAGCTCACGTGGTCCGGCTTGTGCAAGTCCCAGGTCCAACTCCGGGTCTCCTGCTTTTGGCCACTCAGGATTGGACCTGGGACTGATACTGGTCGGCCCTGCAGGCGCTGCGGACAGGGGAAGCACAGAGATTCCCCGCCGCGTTCCCTGGACTCAGGAGCTCGCCGCGATGCCCCGCCCCACTCTCCACCCGCTGAATGCAGGGCGCATGCTGCTACTTGGCGGCTCAAGCCCCGCCCGCACCGTCCCCATTCTCTGACCGCCCCTCTCCCGGTACACTGCGCAGGCACAACAGAGCCGCTCCCCTCTCCTCGCCCCGCCACCGGGACGGAGAGCGCCCGCCGCTGCATTTCCGGCGACACCTCGCAGTCATTCCTGCGGCTTGCGCGCCCTTGTAGACAGCCGGGGCCTTCGTGAGACCGGTGCGAGTATTTGGGGATTATTCTTATTTTCTGCCACTTTTAACTTTTAGGGATTATTTAGGAGTTTCACGGCCGTCTGCTTTTCGTCCCCCCGATTCAGCGGGCCTTCAGGCCGTGTGGTCGGTGCTTTTCTCGTTGGGTATTTTCTGCTTTTAAAAGAAGTTGTGGATGCGCGGAGCCCCTGGGCTCCTGAGGCAAAGGCTTACCCATGTAGCATAGTGTTGCCTCGTTTCTTGGTGATTTTCTTGCTCCATCTCTTTAAAAGCCTCCCTTACTCGGTGCCGTCTCGAGTTAAGAACTGTGGGCAAGATCCCAAGCCCGCTGCCCTTCCCTGTTTTATGGAAACTTAATTCTTTTTTTTTTTTTTTTTGTCCTTGAGGGAGGGACTTGCTCTGTCGCCCATGCTTGAGTGCAGTTGCCTGAATATGTCTCATTGCAGCCTCTGCCTCCTGGGCTCAAGCCATCCTCCCACTTCAGCCTCCCAAGTAGCTGGGATTTACAGTCGCATATCACCATGCGCGATTAATTTTTTTATATTTTTTAGTAGACAATGGGTTTCACTATGTTGGCCAGGCTGGTCTTGAACTCCTAACCCCAGGTGATCCGCCCGCCTCGGCCTCCTAAAGTACTGGGATGACAGGCGTCAGCCACTGCGCTTGGCCTAATTCTTTAAACAGAATAAACGGGGTATGCATTGCTTTCATCTTTTGGCTCACTGGACACAGGATACTTTCTGTAAGAAAATAGAAGCTGTTTTTCCAAGGGTGTAGTGTCACATGTGAATATGACCACTGTTTCCGTATATTTTATCCTCTCCTACTACTGCCCTCCTAACAAGAACTGTGAGTTGGACGCAGAAGTTTCTAAAAAAGTTGAGCTTTGAAATTGGCTGTTGCAGCAGGGATGAAAAGCAACACCCCTACCTCCCCTCAAAAGAGACATTAAAGTAGTTGGATTAAGGGCACGGGAGTATTTGCTTTTGAATTTAGTGATAACATGGGTAGCTGATGAAATGACTAACACATTCCCTGATTTTAGAGCTGGTCAGTGGATCTTGCTGAGTTTCCCGTGGGCCTATGTGATTAAAACTGAGGTTTTCATGACAATGGTCAGCATCTGTTCAGGGTTTACTAGGTGCTAAGCACCTTTACATGTGACATCCATTGAATGCTCACTACAGCCCCAGGAAATCGGTACCAGTGTTATCCTCATGGTACAGTGAAGAATACTGAGACTTAGGTTGCGTAGCTTGCAGGTTGGACACACTTCTTTCTGACTGCTGGAGAGCTGTGCTTTTAACTACCTCTGATCCAGCTTGTTTTCTGCAGGTGCAGGCCTGGGGTAGTCTCCTGTCTGGACAGAGAAGAGAAAAATGCAGGACACTGGCTCAGTGTGAGTGCAGTAAATGGGTATGGAGTAGCCAGGAGCTTCTGGAAACCAGAGTTCCTTTCCTTAGCTGAAAAGAACCTTAAGAGTAGACTGCCTGGGATGGCATGGGGGATGGGAGGATCACTGGACCTGTGGGCCAGAAACTTGGGTTTGAGTCCCAGCTCTGGCTTTGCTGAGTTGTGTGACTCTCAGAAAGTCATCCAACCTCTGTGGTCCTTATTTTCAGTGATAGGACCTGTGGGGAATGATTACCTTTTAGTCCCATCCTATGACAGTATGGTTTGTTTTCAAAGCCAGGTTAGCACTGACTTCTCCCTCTTGTGTTTTCAGAGTGCCTTTGCATTGGTTTGGCTTTGGCTACGCAGCACTGGTTGCTTCTGGTGGGATCATTGGCTATGTAAAAGCAGGTAGGGTTTTGTTGTTACTTAGCCTCTTAACATCTTCACGTTGTCCCAGTGAAATGTGAATGCCCGTGTCCCTGAGAAGCAATCTCATTTGAGTCAGGTTTGCTGTGGGTCCCCAAGCTGGAGTGCAGGCTTCCTTGTCAGTCTTGCAGCTCCTGCCCTTGCCCTTTGGTTATCTGGTGAAGCTGAGCCAGGCCTCTTTTGGAATTACTTGTTTTTGCCTCTTTATCTACAGATAGGCAGGGGCGGTTGTAGTTTGTTATTATCGTTGACTGCCATTCATCAGCCACGACCCCCAAGTGCCATCTCTGGGCTCAAGTAGGAGGAAACCTCTGGCCTACACAGACTGGTATTTTGAACTCTCCTCGTTAGGCCAGGCAGGGGTGTGTCAGTGGCTGTGCTTGTGTTTGCCCCCTAGTCCTTGCCTGCATTCCCACCCCAACCCCTGCACCAGAATTCTTCTTCTCCAGGTCTTTGTATTTTTTTAATTGACTGGCCTTATCTCCTTCTCCTTTTGTGATTTGCTGGAGGTCCTGCCTGTACACAATTCCAGTCCTTCATGGTTGATCAGGCCTGATTAGAAAGAAGGCCTAGCCACAGTTCCATCTAAGGAGGGAAGATGGCCTTCTTTCCTTTCCTTAGATGGAAGTGCCCTGCCTATTAGAGGAGAGAAAAATGGGGTGGGAAGACCCTGACTTCTCTGAGAAGATAGCACACTCTCTGTAACGTCTTCCTGCTTGAGTCCACCTTGGCTATGAGCTGTGTTGAGAGTTCTCTGTGCTGTCCTCCTTTGTAGGGCAGCGGTCTGGGGGATTCCGTTAGTGAAATAAGTGCCTGACATTACAATGCAAGCTGTGTTTGCTTCCCTCTAGGCAGCGTGCCGTCCCTGGCTGCAGGGCTGCTCTTTGGCAGTCTAGCCGGCCTGGGTGCTTACCAGCTGTCTCAGGATCCAAGGAACGTTTGGGTTTTCCTAGGTATGTCTGCTTTGGCGTCTCCTTAGGGCAGCTATGTATCCAGAATACTCTTTTCCAAAAGACCCTGGTTTGGTGGGATGGGGTGAGTTCTTCACACTTCACTTACGACAATTTCACTGCTTCTACCAAGTCCTCAGAAAGTTTTAAAATGAGGGTGCAGAGGCAGGAATTATGCTGGTTTCTGTTTATCTTTTACATACAGAACATGGAAGGATTTTCATAGCTCGTGACTATATTTACCCAGTAGCATTAAAATTCTATCAGGCAAATGTATCAACCGTTGAGGTTGCCCACTGAAGACCTTTGGCTTCAGCATCACTAAACTATCACACGTCTGGGTTAGGTTTGCATCTGAATTGCGATTTCCCCATTTGAAAATCACCTCTTTAGCAGTTAGCTAAATGTGACTGCAGTGACTCACACCTGTAATCCCAGCACTTTGGGAGGCCGAGGCAAGTGGATTACAAGGTGAGAAGTTCGAGACCAGCCTGACCAACATGGTGAAACCCCATCTCTACTAAAAATACAAAAATTAGCTGGGGGTGGTGGCGGGTGCCTGTAGTCCCAGCTACTTGGGAGGCTGAGGCAGGAGAATCACTTGAACCTGGGAGGCAGAGATTGCAGTTGAGCTGAGATCACACCACTGCACTCCAGCCTGGGCGACAGAGCAAGACTCCATGTCAAAAAACAAAAAACATAGGCATAGAAGCAGGACTGGAAAGGTACCCTGTAAGCAGCACGGACAGTGAGTGGTGTGGGGGACCGAAGAGTCCTCCTTATCAGAGTGGCTTTCAGTACATTTCTGTGGGGCTCCACCCATGTGTCAGACACTGCTAGGAGTGTGGGTTCCTTGCGGTCTCTACAAACCCCGTGTGAGAATGAGTGCCATGTGGGAGGGAGAAGCCATGTGATCTGTACATATCAGCTGGGGTGGGGAAGGGAGGTCCGTGATGGCTAATGGGGTGTGCTGGGGAAGGAGGTGTGTCCAGGTCCCAGCTCTGCCTAACAGCTCCCTCCCTCATGCTCCAGAATGACTTGAGCCTGCATTTTCCCTTTCTCTGATGCTACTCTACTCAGCAAATGACCTCACGCCTATTGTAGGGAAAAAACAGCAGCCATCAGGTGGGGACTCCTGGAGCCTTTAATCTCCAAGCCTCCCCTCGTCCTGTTTCCCTCCTCTCCAACACCAGTGTCTTCCTCTGGGCTTTGGGTGTCTTCTCCCTGATCTTCTCCAGACCTTTACACTGGCCAGGATCCTGTCTTGTATTTGTATTCCTCCTTTTAGGTGGATCCCCGCATTGATATTCAGATGTGCTTGTCTCCTTCCCCTTCATAAACTTCCCTTTTTTTGAGATGGAGTCTCACATATTGCCCAGGCCAGAGTGTAGTGGCACAACCTTGGCTCACTGCAACCTCCACCTCCCAGATTCAAGCAATTCTCCTATCTCAGCCTTCTAGGTAGCTGGGATTCAGGCGTCCACCAACATGCCCGGCTAATTTTTCTATTTTTAGTAGAGACAGGAGTTTCGCCATGTTGTCCAGGCTGGTCTGTAACTCCTGACTTCAGGTTTGGGAGGCCAAGGAGGGTGGATTGCCTGAGCTCAGGAGTTTGAGACCACCGTAGGCAACGTGGTGAAACCCGGTCTCTAATTTAAAAAAAAAATTAGCCAGGCGTGGTGGCGGACGCCTGTAGTCCGAGTTACTCAGGAGGCTGAGACTTGAGAATTGCTTGATCCCAGGAGGTGGAGGTTGCAGTGAGCCAAGATCACGCCACTGCACTCTAGCCTGGGCGACAGATCAAGACTCTGTCTCAAAAATTAAAAAAAAAAATGTGACTCTGTTCATGTGTCCTTCTGCTTAGCATCCTTTAATAGCTTCTCATTGTTCTTACGATGAAAACCCAAACCCCAGTATGGCCTTCAAGGCTCCATGTGGTCTGGCACCTCTTACTCACAAACTGCATCTTGACTTCTGTGCCATGCTGCCCTTTTAGGGTGAATGTCCCATGCTCCCTGTCACCACAGGGCCTCTGCATATACTGTCCCCTCTGCCTGGAATGGGCCTTCCCATCCTTCAGCTCATTAATTCCTGCGTAATTTCAGATCTCAGCCAATCTTCACTTTTTTGTCTAAGCCTTTTTATTCGTGTGAGTCTTTAAAGTCTGTCCCATCAGACCTGAAGCACTGTAAAAGGGCAAAGACAGTTACAATAACCTTTGTATTCTCCAGCTCCTAGCACAGCACTTGACATGTAGTAGGTGCTTCGACAGATACCCAGTGGGAATTGTGTGCAGGGTAGAGGAAGTAGCGTCTGCAGGGCGTGAGAAACAGTAGCATTTTGGAGAAAACTAACATATTGATGGCTAAAGTGTGGGTTTTGCAGAAGACAAGTGGTAAGAGATGAAGCTGGAAGGGCAGGCAGGACCCAGGCTGTGAAGGGCCCTATTTGGCCAATATTGGTACTAGGACCCATAGGATGTGGGCAGTCAGTAGTCTCCCCGACTTGGGGAAAGAGGAATAAGCATAGGATGAGGCGTGAGCCTTGAGAGATGGGTGGGGCTTGGCCCACTTCTGATTCCCCTGCGTAGAAGATGTAATGAGTTTTAACACTTCTTTATATGTTTTTCATCAGCTACATCTGGTACCTTGGCTGGCATTATGGGAATGAGGTTCTACCACTCTGGAAAATTCATGCCTGCAGGTTTAATTGCAGGTGCCAGGTACTTTCATTCTATTACTCTTCTTTACCATGTAGAGTTCAGTTTATTCCCCAGGATACCTTATGCATTCAAAACCTTACTTGTTTCAGGATATCTGATGCTATGTATCAACTGACATTTGATATATACACTAATAGGAAATGTTTCAAAAACAATAGCTAGTTTAATGTCAAAATGGCATGAGTATATCCATTCACCGTGGAAATGGGTTTGTTCTCATATTTGCTTTCCAGTCCATCCAAACTCCTCCCTATATGGTGGCAGAAGTTTTAGTGCAAAGCCATGACTGCAGCCTTTTGTGTGACTTGCATGGAAGATTTGGGGGCCCCATATTTCTTAGATGTGTAGATGTCTTTTACAGAAAATTTTGCTAAAAGAGAATTTTGATTGAATCCTGTTTTCTATTTTTTGTTGTTGTTATTGAGACGGAGTATCACTCTGTCACCCAGGATGGAGTGCAATGGCGTGATCTCCGCTCACTGCAATCACCATCTGCCTCCCGGGTTCAAGCGATTCTCATGCCTCAGCCTCCGGAGTAGCTGGGATTACAGGCGTGCACCACCATGCCCAGCTATTTTTGTTGTTTTGGTAGAGATGGTGTTTCACCACATTGGCCAGGCTGGTCTGGAACTCCTGATCTTGTGATCCGCCCACTTCGGCCTCCCAAAGTGCTGGGATTACAGGCGTGACCCACTGCGGCTGGCCCTGTTTTCTAATTTTGATTATAAAACCTAAACCAAATTGTGGTTTTTAAAAAATTTAGTTGTGGCTGGGCACAGTGGTTCACACCTGTAATCCCAGCAATTTGGGAGGCAGAGGCAGGCGGATCACCTGATGTCAGGGGTTCAAGACCATCCTGGCCAACATTGCGAAACCCCGTCTCTATGAAAAATACAAAAATTAGCTGGTTATGGTAGTGGGCACTTGTAATCCCAGCTACTCGGAAGGCTGGGGCAGGGAGAATTGCTTCAACCTGGGAAGCGGAGATTACAGTGAGCTGAGATCATGCCACTGCACTCCAGCCTGGGGGACAGAGCAAGACTCCATCTCAAAAAACAAACAAACAAACAAACAAAACTTTAGTTGTAGGCCAGGTGTGGTGGCTCATGCCTACAATCCCAGCACTTTGGGAGGCCAGAGCGGGCGGATCACTTGAGGTCAGGAGTTCAAGACCAGTCTGCCCAACATGGTGAAACCCCATCTCTATGAAAAATACAAAAATTAGCCGGGCATGGTGGTGCACACCTGTAATCACAGCTACTTGGGACACTGAGTCAGGAAAATCTCTTGAACCTGGGAGACGGAGGTTGCAGTGAGCCGAAATTGTGCTGCTGAACTCCAGCCTGGGCAACAGAGGTGAGTGAGACTCCATCTGAAAAAATAAAAATAAAAAACCTTCTCAAAAACAAAAAATTTAGTTAAGTATCATAAAGACATCCTGAAGGTAGGGGAATTTTTAAAAATCTGTTTTGGAGAAAGATTACATACTCTGATCATAGTTGTGATGCTACCAGTATAATGTTTTATACCTGAAGCAAGGAAGTCAGTGTGGAGCAAGGTCTAGAGCAGTAAACTGAGACGCTGGAGAGTCTACCATTAATCAGATCTGTGATGGTGGGGAGGCCTTGCTCTCTCTTGCCTCCATTTCTTCATCTCTTCAAATTATTGGCAGTTGGGTTAGGATCCAGCTCATGTGTGCTATTTTAAGACTCCCTTGGCTTGCTTTTTCTCTGGTTCCTCCAGGGATGGAAATTTACCCCTGACCACTCTTGCCTTAGTACCTCCTCCCCCACGCAGTTGTGAGGAACCAGCAGTTTAGTTCCTTAAAAACATAGTTGCCTGTTCTGTCCTTTACCTGACATTTTCTATCTTGTTTCTTTTAAACAGTTTGCTGATGGTCGCCAAAGTTGGAGTTAGTATGTTCAACAGACCCCATTAGCAGAAGTCATGTTCCAGCTTAGACTGATGAAGAATTAAAAATCTGCATCTTCCACTATTTTCAATATATTAAGAGAAATAAGTGCAGCATTTTTGCATCTGACATTTTACCTAAAAAAAAAGACACCAAACTTGGCAGAGAGGTGGAAAATCAGTCATGATTACAAACCTACAGAGGTGGCGAGTATGTAACACAAGAGCTTAATAAGACCCTCATAGAGCTTGATTCTTGTATATTGATGTTGTCTTTTCTTTCTGTATCTGTAGGTAAATCTCAAGGGTAAAATGTTAGGTGTCAGCTTTCAGGGCTCTGAAACCCCATTCCCTGCTCTGAGGAACAGTGTGAAAAAAAGTCTTTTAGGAGATTTACAATATCTGTTCTTTTGCTCATCTTAGACCACAGACTGACTTTGAAATTATGTTAAGTGAAATATCAATGAAAATAAAGTTTACTATAAATAATATTTCCTATGGGGTCTTCATTGCCAGAGCTGTCTAGTTCATAGAATGAGATATTGCTAGCAGCAAGATATAGAAACATGAAAGTATTTTGTTAATATTTAGAAATTACCTATTTTGAATAACTTAAGGACCAAGGAAACTTATTTGATTGTACATTGCATTGAAGCTTGTTTCAAAAATGACCTCTGAGGATTTTTTTTGTTTTTCAAGAGACAAGGTCTTTCTCTGTTGCCTAGGCTGGAGGGCAGTGGTGCAATCATATGTCACTGTAGCCTCAAACTCTTGGGTTCAGTCATCCCACCTCAGCCTCCTGAATAGCTGGTACTACTGGTGCATACCACCACACCCAGCTAATGTACTTTTTTTTTTTTTGGAGATGCAGTCTTGCTCTGTTGCCCAGGCTGGTCTCAAACTCCTGGTCTCAAGTGATCCTCTCGCTTTGGCCTCCCAAAATGTACTGGAGTAATAAGCATGACCTACTGTACCTGGCCACTGAGGTTTTCTTCTTTTTTTTTTTTTTTTGAAACGGAGTTTCGCTCTTGTTGCCCAGGCAACCTCTGCCTCCCGGGTTCAAGCCATTCTCCTGCCTCAGCCTCCCAAGTACCTGGAATTACAGGCATGCGCCACCATGCCCGGCTAATTTTGTATTTTTAGTAGAGACGAGGTTTTCCATGTTGGTCAACCTGATCTCAAACTCCCGACCTCAGGTGATCCGACTGCCTCAGCCTCCCAAAGTGCTGGGATTACAGGTGTGAGCCACCATGCCCGGCAGCCACTGAGGATTT